>NC_000004.12:157406229-157709259 GCF_000001405.40 Homo sapiens
GCCACTTTGTTCATGGGCCCATTGGACGATGACAGGGCTGGCTGGGGAAAGAGGCTGAGTGGTGTCCACAGAATGAGTCATCCTATACACTTCATTATTAAAATCCTCCTCTGCTGAGGTCACACTTTAGTGAGCACTCACATGAGATACAAATATCTTCACCATTTTTGACCACTTAGAGAGGTCCATCCACATACCTCTTCCCCAAATTTTTTGTCACCAATTTTCCAATCATGCTTCTTCCAAGTCCAGGATCACCTATCCAAACCATTGGCTACAGCCCATGAATTGGTATATAATCACATATCTGGCCAGTTCTTCTTTCAAGCAAAGTGCACAATCAGGTACAGAGCTTGAAGGTCTGCCCACTGGGAGATTTCCCTTTGCCACTGTCCATTAGGGATGTCCTAGAAAGGGGCTGTAGTGCAGCAGCAGTCCACTTTTGAGTGGTGCCTACTTATCATGCAGAGCCAGGCCCTAGTTTTCTCTTCCTCTGTCAATGGATCATAGGGAACTCCCCATAAGGCCATCAGTTCAGGCTGGGGAGAGAAGGCACAGTGGCAGGAGTGGGGACAGTGGGCATTTAAGCCACTTCCTCGTGTTACTTACTTTTACCCTCAGGACTTATTTGAGCCCAGTTATGTGTATACCACTTCCATTTGGTTATGGAATGCTGTTGTGCCCACTTTAAGACTAGATGGGGCAGAAAGCACCCAGTTTATGACAGGCAGTTCAGGTCGCATGGTGACTTGATGACCCATAGTTAAATATTCAGTTTCTACCAAAGCTTAGAAATAGGCCAAGAGCTGTCTCTCAAAAGGAGAGTAGTTATCTGCAGAAGATGGCAGGACCTCGCTCCAAAATCCTAGAGATCTCCACTGTGATTCACCTATGGGAGCCTGCCAAAGGCTCCAAACAGCATCCCTATCACCACTGACACCTCAGTGTCAGCACCTTTTGATCTGCTGGGTCATGTGGCCCAAGGAGCAGAGCAGCTTGCACAGCAGCCTGGACCTATTGCAGAGCCTTCTCCTGCTCTGGGCTCCACTCAAAACTGGTGGCCTTTCAGGTCACTTGATAAACGGGCTGGATTAACACACCCAGATGAGGAATGTGTTGCCTCCAAAATACAAATAGGGGCACTAGGTGTCGTTCCTCTTTCTTGGTTGTAGGAGGGGCCAAATGCAGCAACTTATCCTTCACCTTAGAAGGAATATCTCAAAAGGCCCCACACCACTGGGCCCCTAGAGACTTTACTGAGGTAGAAGGTCCCTGAATTTTAGTTGGATTTATTTCCCACCCCATGGCACACAAATGTCTTACCAATAAGTCCAATGTGTTTGTTACTTCCTGCTCACTGGATCCAATCAGCATAGTGTTATCAATGTAATGGACCAGTGTGATATTTTGTGGAGGGGAAAAGCAATCAAGATCTCTGCAAACAAGATTATGGCACAAAGCCAGAGAGTTGATATACCCCCGAGGTAGGACAGTGAAGGTATATTGCTGGCCTTGCCAGCTGAAGGCAAATTGCTGCCGGTGGGCGTTATGGATAGGAATGGAGGAAAAGGTATTTGCCAATCAATAGCTGCATACCAGGTACCAGGAGATGTGTTAATTTGATCAAGAAATGAAACTGCATCTGGTACAGCAGCTGCAATTGGAGTCACCACTTGGTTAAGCTTACAATAATCTACTGTCATTCTCCAATATCCATCTGTTTTATGCACAGGCCAATTGGGAGAGTTGAAGAGGAATGTGGTGGGAATCACCACCCCTGCATCTTTCAAGTCCTTGATGGTGCCACTGATCTCTGCAATCACTCCAGGGATGCGATATTATTTTTTGATTTACTATTTTTCTAGTTAGAGGCAGCTCTAATGGATCGATTTGGCCTCTCCCACAGTAATAGCCCTCATCCTACCAGTCAGGGAGCCAATGTGAGGATTCTGCCAGCTGGTAAGGCCATCAAATTCTACAATTACGTTTCATTATGTATAGGAATAATATGCTATTTGTTCTATGTATTGAGAGAAACCTTTAGCTCAGTAGTGCTTCTCAATGTTTTTAATCAATGTATCCCAATAACAGAGAACACCCTGAAATTTGAGAGTACAGCTCAAAATAAGTTCATTTCATGAGCAACCAAAAATTCATGTAATTTTGAATTAACTGCAAAAATATTTTGCAGCATTAAATTAGTATTTTAACTTACTTATTTTTCCAAAATGTTTTAATAAAATTAATTAGACTGAAAAGCCTTGACATTTTAACTTATTTTTGGACATTTAAATTTATTTTTAGAACTCCAGCACATAGCCATTTGACCTAATATGAGAAGCTTGAGCATACAGCCAAAGTTCAGTATTTGTCTCTAAGTTTAGCCTTCTGTAACTGTTTAACATAGGGTAATTTATTCAATCTGTATGAGCCTCACATTTCTCAGTTGACAACAGAGATACATATTTTTACTTGGCAGCATAATTGTAAATGTTGAAGTTAAATGAGAGGTTGCAATGAGTTCAAGTGTAGATTTTAAAAAGGTGAAATCATGACTCTTATGTAAAAATAAAATGAACCCTTGTCAAAAAATTTATTCACCTCCTTAATTATAAGAAAGATGTTATGAATGGTCCAAAGAGCTTTTGTGAAGTAGGTTTAAGTTGACAAGTTAACAAAGAAATGTTAGGAGTTTTGGGGTGGGTGCAAAACTGATTAATGTCCAATAGAACCTTAAACTCTTACCTCTGGAATGATTAGTTTCACCAGACAGAAATAATCTGCAATTTGAACAGGTAAGAATATGCAAGTTAACTTCTGCCTTGACACATTAATAAATTGTCTCATCAATAGAAAGTCAAACTCAGCACTACACTGAAAAAAGCCTAGTAATCTCTTCTGCCCATTTCTAATTTTTAGATGAGTCTAAGAGTGAATGGGGATTGCAGAAATAACTGCATTTATAAAATTAATGTAGAATTCATTTTTAAATGGCTAGGGAAAATTTTAAAAATTATAATATTTTAAACATTAAATGTGTATTATTTTTTAGGTAATGCATGTAAATTTTATATTTATTTTTCACCACAACTCTGAGTGGTATCTTAAGGATTTTCACCATTGTTCAGACAGTGAAACTGAGGCTGGGAATATTATTTATATTTACATTCCAAAAATATTCTACCCCATCTCTTCAGCTTTTAACTGTATTTAGATATAATCCATCATAAAAGTAAAATAATAATTTTACTGTGGCTCTACTTCTAGCTACTGTTTTGGCTCATGCTGGTATCATATACAATAATGTTGGCTTTGTAGCCAGAGTACATGAAGATATCAATTCATACAATCTGGATCCTGAGAATATAAGTTATGAAAGACTCCTTGTGAGAATAAAGAAAGGGAGAGGGTGAGGAAGAGAAGATGAGAGAGAGAACTTACTGGTAGAAGAATTCAGAATTGCTGAGTTTTTGGGGCCCAATTAAAGCTGTTAAATGTTAATTTATACTTTTAGCCACCTGCACTTTGATAGATGTATTTTGTGATGTTTCTGTTTTGTTGTTGTTTCATTTTAAGCAACTCTCAGTAGGCTCAGGAGATATCATGACCAAGACAAGCAGTTGGGCTTTTCTTTTGTAAGAACACAGGAGAAGAAAACTTGTAAGGATACAGGTGCATTTGCGGGCATAAGTGTGACTAGTTGGATGGCTTCTATTTTCTTTGTGAAAAAGAATAACTGGTAGCTACTAAGTGAGGAGGAGCTGATAGAGCTGGAGATATAAGACAAAGTTAAATTCTTTCAAGTCTGAATCCAATAACCTCCTTCCTTCTCAGCATCTCATTCTTCTTGTGAGAATATTAAACTGAAGGCATAAAACCAAGGGAAGAATTCAGAGGAAACTTTTCTTTTGTAAGGAGTTCAAAGAAAGAGAAGCCAAGAAGGAAATGAAAGGCTTAGTCCAAAAGATAGAAGCAGGACCAGGAAAATCAAAGGAGTGGAATTTTGAGATGTAGAAAGGCCAAAAGCAACAAAGCTGCATGATGCAGGGTTAACATAGGAGGAGAAAAACTTTTCTCAGTAATGAGGATGTTCTTAGCAACAGCAGTTTTTAACAGCAATATGAAAGGAAATTTTTTTTTAAATTTGAGGAGAAAGTAATTCAAATAAAATATGGAGTATATTTTTAAAAATTGTTGATATATAATTGATATACAAAAACTCTACATATGTAGTGCATTTGGTTGGTGCAAAAGTATTTGCAGTTTTTGCCATTACTTTTAATTAAAAGTAAGTAACATTATTTTTAATGGCAAAAACCACAATTACTTTTGCACCAACCTATCACACAACTTGATGAGTTTAGAGATTAATATAGAGTGCTTTTAAACTATACTCTCAAAAATGTTGAAAAATACATTTATAATAGAAAGGGAAAGTTTGTTTTCTTAATATTTAAAGAGATTTTTTGTGTAGTAATAAGAAACACATGAATATTTCATTAAAGATGGTCAGAGAAGTTGAACCAGAAATAAAAATGACCAATAATTAACTCACAACAGTAATAACATAATGAAATGGATGCCATTATTTGCTATAAAACTGTTAAGTTATAAAAGAATGAACAGTTTTATATGCTACCTGTCAGTTCTAATTTTACATTCTTCTAGGGAGATGTAAAAGGCAATTTTCAATGTATAGGAAAGCTTGTAATAAAGTTGGTTAATTTCAATTTTTATATTTTATGTTAAGAACTTTATAAAATATAAACTATTCAAAGAATATATTTATATACCACAAAAATGTTTGTAATTACCCAATCAAGCATAACAATGCATAACAATTAAAAATGACCTAAATGTTTAAAAATAGGAGATTGGGAAATGCTCATATAAGGGAATATTAAATATCCATTTCAATTATACCTTCAAAAGGCGATTTACTATAATTTAAGAAATCATAATTTGTTACTAGGGTAAAAAAAGCCTTAAAACAATAGGTACTGTATCATTCCACTTACAAAAATTAACATATACATACCATCTGGGAACAAATATTACTTGGAAGTATTTCAAACAAAAAGTTATGCTTTCTGTTTGCTTTGTTCATTTCATTCCACATTTTAAACTTTGATCTATGGTAGTTTTATAATTGCAAAACAAAATTCTTGAATTAAAAAATTTTGCAGTGAAGGAAAAAATAAAGTTAGAATGGTGAATGAAATGAAGATTTAGAATTGAGCCTAATTTCTTGGTAAGGTAGTGTTCACCTGGGTATTTTTCTTTCCAGATGGGAGGTAACCAATGGAGACTGAGAGTTGAAAAGCCAAGAATATATGTATTTCAAGTGCTTAAAGACAACCAGAATCTTATCTTTTTCACTGATCACAGATCTTTTCTATATACCAAAAATACACTAATTTCTTTATTATTTCTCTGTGGAATGCCTTTTGCCATTTCTGTTTCTTAGCTCAGTGTTTTCTCCAATTCTTTTCAAAAATAAAATTAAAGTCCTACTGAGTTCACGGTCAAATTTAGGTCAGACAAGGCAAAACAAACAAAATGTCTCCCTATTGTTCTGAAAGATTCTCTCAGGACTAAAACCTACTCTTATGTTTAATGCATTTTATCATCATCAGCTGTTAAATAATACTAAATGATCTCACTGATAAGATTCAAATTTTGGTGCTAGAATAATGAAGTATAAACAAAAGTGCAGAAATAACTTAGATGTAAAATATGATTTTATTGTTACATATTTAATTATTTCATGGCTTCAATTATGCTATGGGTCATATTGTATAACTGAGTGCCCACTGTGGGTTACACTTTATGTTATGCAAGTCTTTACTTAGCTCTGTGACCTTTTTAACTTCTCCTGATTTTAATGTGTTCCTTTGATAAAAATGGAGCTGGGCTAAAGCAACTTAATGTGCAGCAGAATCACCAGGTGATGCTACTGTCGTTGCTGTTCTAGGGACCACACTTTGAGAATCACTGAGTTAGCTGACATTTTAGATTTCTTCTAGCTTAGAAACTCAATAAATCTATATGCTCAAGGCAGTGCACTGATACAGTATAAGGGCACATTGGAATGTTTTAGCATCATTTACATAGACCAATCAGAAGACTGGTCCTAGCCCATGTAATGTTGTTATAACAGAATATCTGAGTCTGGGTAATTTATTAAGAAAAGAGGTTTATTTAGCTCATGGTTCTGAAGGCTTGGAAGTACAACAAGCACAGAGCTGGCATCTGCTCAGCTTCTGGTGAGGGCTTTTTGTGTTGTGTCATAACGCGACGAAGAAAGTCAAAAGGGGCATGGACATGTATGAAGAGCCGAAACCTAAGGGGCAGCCTGGCTTTATAACAACACACTCTCGAAGGAACATCTCTGCAAAAACTAATCCAGTCTTGTAAGAGTGATAACTCACTCCCTACTGGAACACCAAGCCATTCATGAGGGATCCACCTCTATAACCAAAACACCTCCCACCAGCCCCACCCCCAACAGCACCACAGTGGGGATCAAACTTTAACATGAGTTTTTTTGGGAAAAAATAAACCAGAGCACTGCTAAAATCCTCTTTATTCCATATGTGTAGCATTTCTATGATATTCTTTCTTACAGCAAGATAAGGAAATCATTTCACACAGAAATAGAGAAAATTATTTTAATAACAGTTTACTTTAGACAATTTACTAGATGCCTTAGCATTTTGCATATGCTGCAGAAAACAAAATACCTGAGACTGGGTAATTTTTAAAGAGCAGAATTTTATTTCTTACCGTTCTGGGGCTGCAAAGTTTGAGATCAAGGCACAGGTGCTGGCAGGTTTGTTGTCTGGTGAGGTCTCTGTTTCTAAGCAGTTGGTCTCTGCTTCCAAGAAGGCCTCTTAACTGCTACTTCTGGAGAGGAATTCCGTGTCCTTATGTGGCAGAAGGCAAAAGGACAAAAAAGCGACAAACTCTCTCCATGAAGCACCTGTATAAGGGCAATTAAGAGAATTAATCCCATTCTCAATAGAGCAGCGCTGCTGGTCTAATCTCATCTTAATTGTCCCAACTATTAAAATACTATCACATTGGCAACACCTGAATTTGGAAGGAATATATTCACAACACAGCCTTCTTTCCCTGCCTCCCCATTTGTGTTCTTCTCATATGCAAAATACATTTACTCCATTTCAATAACTCCCCAAAGTCTTAACTCATTCCACCAACAACTTTACAGACTCAGTCCAAAATTTTATCTAAACATCATATGGATGAGATTCAAGGTACAGTTCATCCTGAGGCAAAGTCCACCCCAGCTGTGAGCCTGTGAAATCAAACAACTTATGCGCTTTCGATTTACAATTATGAAACAGGTAAAGGACAGACATTTTCCTTCTGAAAGGGAAAAATAGGAAAGAAGAAAGGAAAGGTGTGGCAGGTCCTATGTAAGTCCAAGACCCAACAGAGCAAACAACATTAAATCTTAAGCCTTGAGCTCATCTTCTTTCACTCTTATGTCTCACCTTCTGGACACACTGGGATGGAAGTGGGACCCCCAAGGCCTCAGATAGGTCTGCCCCCATCTGTGCTTCAGTTCTCGTGCATTGAAGTTGCATGCCTACGACTCTTCTAGGCTAGCACTGTACACTGGTCACTCTACTGTTTTGAGGTCTCATGGGTGTCTCTGCCTGCACTGCCTAGTAAACATTTTCTTTGTGGGGACTCTCTGTGGTGGCCCAGACCCCACAGGGCCCTGGGTATTGCCCTATTAGGGGCTGTGTTTGAAACTCTTGGCCCTTTGGTGGTTCTCTGCCTGGGCCCTGAAGCTCTCTGGGACATTTTTTTGAAATCTAGCTGAAGGTAGCCATGCCTCTACAGTTTCTGCATTCATTGAGTCAAAAGAGTTAGCACCATGATTATGCTGCCAAGGTTAATGATTTATGTCCCCCAGAGGAGTGGTTCAAACCACACTGGGGGTCACCTGGGCCACATCTGGGATGCTGAGGAGCTCTGTGCCTGAATGTGGGAAGCAGAGATCTGAGATGGCTCTGGGCAGTGAGCCTGGAGTTTCCTACTGGCACCCCAGTCCCCACCTTCACAAGTATTCTGCCATCAAGGCCCTACCATTATGGATCTGCAATGAACGTGGCTGCCCCAAAGATCTTCAAAATGCCTTTGAAGTCATTCTTCTATGGTTTGATAAATAGCACCTGGCTTCTTTCTAATCGCATGAATCCCTTTAGCATATGGTCACTTGCCCTTGGTCACGTCCTTGGTGTTCTCTCCTATACATGTTATACATTTTTCAGTCTTTACATAGCCAGGCTGGGAATTGTACAAATCTTTATGCTCTGGTTCCCTTTTAACAATAAAAGTTTGTCTTTAAATCATATCTCTCTTCCTGCATTTCACTCTAAGCAATTAAAGGAAACCATGCAGTACCCTGAATTCTTTGCTGCTTTGAAGTTCCTTCCTCCAAATAGCCTAGTATATCATTTTTAAATTCTTGCTTTTCACAAAGTCCTAGGACAAAGACATAATTCAGCAAAGTTCTTTGCTACTTTATAACAAGGATAACCTCTCCTCCAATTTTCCAGACCTTCTTTCTCATTCCATCTGAGACCTCATCAGAATGGTCTATAATGTTCATATTTCTACAAACATTCTGTTCACAGCCACTTAAGTAATCTCTAAAAGAATGAAGCTTTTATAATAGCTCTTATCTTCTTCTGCGCTCTCAAAAGAATAGCCTTTAATGTTCCATTCATGACAGTATAGGCTTTTTCTAGAATTCACTTCAAAACTATTGCAGCCTCTACCCATTACACAGTTCCAAAGCTGCTTCCACACTTTTAGTTATTTGTTATTGTAATGTCTCAATCCTGGTACCAAATTCTGTCTTTTTGCTTCTATTTTAAAATATCTGAGACAGGGAAATTTATAAAGAAGAGAAATTTGCTTATCACAATACTGGAGGCACAAAAGTCTGAGATCAAGGCACTAGAATCCGGTGTCTGGTGAGGGCCTTCTTGCTGTGTCTTCACATGATTACCAGCTGAAGGACAAGCAAGGACTAACTCCCTCCATCAAGTCCTATTATAAGGTCATCTAATCCCATACACAAGGGAGGAGCTTTCATGGCCTAATCACTTCTTAAAGGTCCCACCTCTTATTATTATCACATTGGCAGCACCTGAAGTTTAGAGGGAACACATGTATACCATAGCACTAGAAAAGTATGTACCTAAACAAATGGTAGAGTTTTAGATGACTTATTTATATTTCTTTTCTGGCAGTGCTTGCTACAATGTTACCACCTAGTAGAGAGTCCAAAGGCTTTTTTGTTATATTGAGTAGATTTGGCATTTCTTATATGAATTATAGATTTTTTGTGGATATGATTTTTATCACTTTAATATTGGGAAGGCCAGTGTTGGTTCTGCTTTTTCTCTCCAAATGACAAATTATCTATCTATCTATCTGTCTATCTATCTATCTATCTATCTATCTATCATCTACCAATCTATTAACATAGTTTTAGATTAGGATACAGATTTGTCATTTGTCTGTTAAATTACTTAAACATTTTCACAAAAATGTATTTTTTATTCTCTTTTTCTTTCTTATTTTATTTAATATATTTATTTGCATGTTTATAATTACTGAAAAGACACTACAAATAATAGAATAAACATCTGGGTTATGGGGAAAGAACAAAATGAAAGAAATTGGAAATGTTTTACTTATTTGTGCCACATCAAATAAAAATCAAAGGCAACCAAGAGCCAAAATAGTCAAAAATATACAAAAAAAAGCAGGCAGAAAATACATATAGGACCTCTACCCCAGAGAATAGACAAAGGTAAACATAAGGTGACAGGCCTTTTAGGCAGTTAAATGTTTGTTCCTGGATTCAGAATTGGCTTTCTTTGTTTTTACAGGGACTGAAAGGTAATTTTAATATACCTTTACTATAAAACAAAACACATTTTACTAGGTGGTTAGGAAAGACAAAGTGCCAACAACAATGCATTGCTGGGAACCATTTTAGAACTGTTCAGTAAATAATACCCTTAGCTCCCCAGCATATTCTAAGCCAAGTGGGATTTGAAATACCACACCTACAGAGTATATTTATTATCTAGCTTTCCCATTGAAATGCCAATGCATAATGGAGTATTGTAACACAACTTGGCAGGAAAACAGAAAGTGCAGCTTTTTCTTTACATGATTTTCAAAAATCTTGTGCGATTGAACTGCATGACTGCCATTAGAAGAAACAAAAGTCACACAGCTTTAGCACATCACCATAGTAAGAAAATGAAGGAGCCAGTGTTATCATTCAACTAACCATTTATTAGTTGTGCAGACCTTCAATTTGTGCAGACCTTCAATTATACAGCACAGTAGAATACCCAGTATAAAAAAATAAAAGTCAAGTGGCATTCGCCTTTTCACATGCCAGTCTTAATCTAAAAAACAGAGATTTGGAAGAAAATTTTCCAAGCATTTTCCATAGTGCAATTGCCCCAGATTTTCAGATGAGATTACATTTTGATAAAAGTATTTGTTAGCAGAAATGACTCTATTTTATATTTTAAGAAAATTAACAACGGACATTTCCTTCAGTCATTCTCCACTTTGATTTTTAAATTAATGTTCTTCTTATTCTGTTATTAACTGCAATACAGAAGAGAAGGTTAACGTTACCTAGATCAACTATTATTTGCTCCAGAATGTTTCTTTCCAAACTCAAATATAAACAGTCTTCATACATAAAAGCTACCAGTTACATCTATTGAGATAATCATGTGGTTTTTGTCTTTGGTTCTGTTTATATGCTGGATTACATTTATTGATTTGCGTATATTGAACCAGCCTTGCATCCCAGGGATGAAGCCCACTTGATCATGGTGGATAAGCTTTTTGATGTGCTGCTAGATTCGGTTTGCCAGTATTTTATTGAGGACTTTTGCATCAATGTTCATCAAGGATATTGGTCTAAAATTATCTTTTTTGGTTGTGTCTCTGCCAGGCTTTGGTATCAGGATGATGCTGGCCTCATAAAATGAGTTAGGGAGGATTCCCTCTTTTTCTATTGATTGGAATAGTTTCAGAAGGAATGGTACCAGTTCCTCCTTGTACCTCCAGTAGAATTGCAGAAAAGGCCTTTGACAAAATTCAACAACCCTTCATGCTAAAAACTCTCAATAAATTAGGTATTGATGGGACGTATCTCAAAATAATAAGAGCTATCTATGACAAACCCACAGCCAATATCATACTGAATGGGCAAAAACTGGAAGCATTCCCTTTGAAAACTGGCACAAGACAGGGATGCCTTCTCTCACCACTCCTATTCAACATAGTGTTGGAAGTTCTGGCCAGGGCAATTAGGCAGGAGAAGGAAATAAAGGGTATTCGATTAGGAAAAGAGGAAGTCGAATTGTCCCTGTTTGCAGATGACATGATTGTATAACTAGAAAACCCCATTGTCTCAGCCCAAAATCTCCTTAAGCTGATAAGCAACTTCAGCAAAGTCTCAGGATACAAAATCAATATACAAAAATCACAAGCATTCTTATACACCAACAACAGACAAACAGAGAGCCAAATCATGAGTGAACTCCCATTCACAATTGCTTCAAAGAGAATAAAATACCTAGGAATCCAACTACCAAGGGACGTGAAGGAACTCTTCAAGGAGAACTACAAACCACTGCTCAATGAAATAAAAGAGGATACAAAGAAATGGAAGAACATTCCATGCTCATGGGTAGGAAGAATCAATATCGTGAAAATGGCCATACTGCCCAAGGTAATTTATAGATTCAATGCCATCCCCATCAAGCTACCAATGCCTTTCTTCACAGAATTGGAAAAAACTACTTTAAAGTTCATATGGAACCAAAAAAGAGCGCGCATCACCAAGTCAATCCTAAGCCAAAATAACAAAGCTGGAGGCATCATGCTACCTGACTTCAAACTATACTACAAGGCTACAGTAACAAAAGCAACATGGTACTGGTACCAAAACAGAGATATAGATCAGTGGAACAGAACAGAACCCTCAGAAATAACACCACATATCTACAACTATCTGATCTTTGACAAACCTGAGAAAAACAAGCAATGGGGAAAGTATTCCCTATTTAATAAATGGTGCTGGGAAAACTGGCTAGCCATATGTAGAAAGCTGAAACTGGATCCCTTCCTTACACCCTATATAAAAATTAATTCAAGATGGATTAAAGACTTAAACGTTAGACCTAAAACCATAAAAACCCTAGAAGAAAACCTAGGCATTACCATTCAGGACATAGGCATGGGCAAGGACTTCATGTCTAAAACACCAAAAGCAATGGCAACAAAAGCCAAAATTGACAAATGGGATCTAATTAAACTAAAGAGCTTCTGCACAGCAAAAGAAACTACCATCAGAATGAACAGGCAACCTACAAAATGGGAGAAAATTTTTGCAACCTACTCATCTGACAAAGGGCTAATATCCAGAATCTACAATGAACTCAAACAAATTTACAAGAAAAAAACAAACAACCCCATCAACAAGTGGGCGAAGGATATGAACAGACACTTCTCAAAAGAAGACATTTATGCAGCCAAAAAACACATGAAAAAATGCTCACCTTCACTGGCCATCAAAGAAATGCAAATCAAAACCACAATGAGATACCATCTCACACCAGTTAGAATGGCAATCATTAAAAAGTCAGGAAACAACAGGTGGTGGAGAGGATGTGGAGAAATAGGGACACTTTTACACTGTTGGTGGGACTGTAAACTAGTTCAACCATTGTGGAAGTCAGTGTGGCAATTCCTCAGGGATCTAGAACTAGAAATACCATTTGACCCAGCCATCCCATTACTGGGTATATACCCAAAGGACTATAAATCGTGCTGCTATAAAGACACATGCACACATATGTTTATTGCGGCACTATTCACAATAGCAAAGACTTGGAACCAACCCAAATGTCCAACAATGATAGACTGGATTAAGAAAATGTGGCACATATACACCATGGAATACTATGCAGCCATAAAAAATGATGAGTTCATGTCCTTTGTAGGGACATGGATGAAATTGGAAATCATCATTCTCAGTAAACTATCACAAGGACAAAAAACCAAACATCGCATATTCTCACTCATAGGTGAGAATTGAACAATGAGAACACATGGACACAGGAAGGGGAACATCACACTCTGGGGACTGTTGTTGGGTGGGGGGAGCGGGGAGGGATAGCATTAGGAGATATACCTAATGCTAAATGACGAGTTAATGGGTGCAGCACACCAGCATGGCACACGTATACATATGTAACTAACCTGCACATTGTGCACATGTACCCTAAAACTTAAAGTATAATAATAATAAAATTAAATTAAATTAAGTTTAAAAAATCTACCAGTTACAAATTTTCGTATTCCTAAACTACTAACTTTATCTTCATGTGCATTGAGTTAAGACATATGTAGTGGGATCAAAAGGTTCCCTATTTTGACAAAGTGTGGTCCATATTCCAGTAGCATCAATATCATCTGGGAGCTTGTTAGGATAAGGATCTGTATTTTAGTGAGCTCCCAGGTGATCATGTTCACATTAAAGTTTGAGAAGCATTGTTCTATATAACTGATGCACAAATGCAAACTACGGAAATGTAGTATGGGGGTTAAGAATCAAGTTTAAATGAGTATCCACATTTTAAATTTACAAACAGAATATAAGAAATCCTATTATAACATAATACTTTAAATTTCTATATTTTGAGAATACAGTTGTTAAAAATAATCTTTATTGGTTTAATTCAGCTATAAACTACTATTTTTTCTAAGAATACAAGTTATATGTATAAATCAAATATTTAGTTTTGATTATTGAAATGTAAACACAGTGGTATCCTAAATATGTTATTGGTCTCTGTTTTTTTCTTTTTTCTACATTTGTTCAGTCTTTAACAAGTGTTAATACTAACCTATCTCAATAACAAAAATTCAAGGCATTTTAATTTTGTCCTGGATTCATTTTCAAGTCCTCTAATCTATGAGTTTATCACCATACTCTTCTGTACAGTTTAGAAACCTGAAGGGTCATCTCTGTATCCAAACTACATTGGCCACTTATGCTAAATTAATAATAAGGCACAAATGCTGGTTTCTGCTATAGAGTCACCTGTTTGCATTTAGAAAGCTATAGAAGTGTCACTCTCTGTTACGTATGTACCAACTTAATTAAAAAATAGTTTCCATTATTTTGTTTTTATTGATAGTGAAATGTATAATTTTTATTTTAGTAAGGACATTGTAGTATATCACACACCAAGATATTTTAAATAGAACAATTTATACATTTTAATTCTATTCTGCTTATGAGGTATAATAATAATCTTAATATGAAGCGTAACAATTCCATCGGAACTTATTAGAATAATTTAGGGGAGTAGTGCTAACCATGTTTAGCCAAATCCTGGAAACTTTCTCTGGTGTAGCATAACATTTTTTTCTGTGATATTATCATTACTACCCTAACAAAAAGAGTATAATCTTAGTTTTTTTTTGTAATGAAGGTATAAATGATCATTTTGAAACAAGGTAAGAGAAATATGGAAAGGTATCTTCCTGAATGTGACCTGCTATTCTCCTAACCAAATGTCAGCCCCACAACTCCTAACTTCAATTTGTGAAGCAGCTTCTGAAGCAGCCAATCAAGGCTGTGAGACCTGAAAAAAATATTCTGGTGTTACCAGGTTCCTGAATGAGAAATCAGGCACTGGGCTTGTTCCTTTCTGGGCCTACAGAGAGCTTGGTGTTCAGCAGTGAGTTTGGTAGCAATCATCAGAACTGCATGGAGTCTGCAGAGAGCTTGGTGCTCTGACATCCCTCGGTCCCTGAGAGGAAAGAGGGTAGCTCCAGCCTGGATCCATGTTCCTGGGAGGACCTTGTGGTCTCCTGGGCTTAGTGTGGCTGCTGAAAATTTGAATCTGTAACTGAATCTTCTCTATTCCTGAGGCTGATGGATAATATTTACCTGCCCCCGAAGAGAACTGGGAACTGGAAAGTGTCAAAGAACATGCTTTCAAGAAATTGAGTTTAAAGATTGCATTGGCTTTTATTAGTAATTCCTGAATTGGGCAGCATCTCATTTATAAATCAAAAATGTACTCCAATAAGCTGAGCAGTGGAAGTGGGCTTTATCAGCAGAAAGAGGCTAAGAATCAGAAATAGGGAACAAAAAGAAAACTGTTCCAGAGTTACTTGTTTTTACAGGGTTAAAGTAGAAGGAACATTCTTGTCATGCAGCTTAGAAAGACAGGGCCTTTTATAATTGGTTGCTGTGAATTTCCTGTTTTTGAAAAACTAGCTCAGTTTAAAGTTCAGTTGGACTACATGGTACCTAGCACAAGTAAATCCATTGTTTGTTCTGGTTCACTGGGTCTTAGTGCAGAAGCTCATTCCAATATAATGACCTCCCTCAAAATTTATTTAACAGAGGAAAGGTTTGTTGCTAGTGTACAGAGTAATCTCAGGCTTACTGTAATTTCAGAAGAAGCCAAACATAAATCCAAATATACATTAGAAATAAGTAAAGAAAAATAATAATTCTACTGGAAGTACTCAGCAACTTGAAGGAGAAACAATAAGCAAAACATCCAGTTCCTGGTGAAATAGACTTGCTGGACAGGGCAGGCTTTAAGCCGATAAATAAGTGAATAAACAATTTTAGTGGATTTGATTACAGCAACCAAAGCTATTGGGAAACAAAATACTCTGTGAATTTTGAATATTGAAATTTTAGAGAGAGCAAATAGGAAAAGAAATGGAATTTCTGAATACAAAAATATGAGATTTGTAAAGATCTGTAAGAAAAAAGAAAATAATAGGAAAACTTGAAAAGTTAAAAATTGGAGAAGAAAATCTCTTGTCTTAAGCAGAATTGATGCTTATCCTGATAAAATTTATTAAGTCTATAATTATAATGATAATGTCATCAACTTCCAGATTAAAGAAAGCTTCTTAAAGGGAAATGAAGAGTTAGTTTGGCATAGGTGTCTTATCAACAACACTGGAAGCAAGAATACTGTGGGAGAGAATTGCTGCCACTCAAAAATTCTATTTCCAGCTGAGATATCATTTAACAGCCAGAATGAAGGAGATATAGATTTACTTTGGGAGGAATTTAGAGACTGCATCACCCATCAAGGAAAATACCAAAATGAGGTTTATAATCAGTAAATCAAAAGACACTTTAATATGGGACTGATGAAGCAGAGAGGAAATACTGGTGAATGATAAATATATAAGGATCGTGATAAATGACTGGAATGGTGTAATATAATGTTACATGAGGATGCTTGATGTAGAGAAGACATAGTGCAAGGAAAATACCAATTGAAATTAAAAGTAGAAACATCTCAACAAAAGTATAATCTGGTGGGTGGCAGAAATGGAGCATTGAAAGCATTAAAAGGGAATCAAGAGAACAGAGCCTTTGGTGATGCAAAGTATAGGATATTTTATATTTATATAATAATACTGATATATTCATTAATCCTAGAGGCGTTTTTTGGGTGTGCACTATGTGCCAGACATTTCAGTTATGTTATTGACAAAACATTGAAGATGCTTGTTTTTGGTATATGTGCATTTGATGATGATATATAGAAAAGCAATGGAATTGCAAAGAACAGAAGAAATCCCATATTTCCCTGGGAGATAGGGAAAATGAATAATAGTTTGATCAACTAGCAAAATTAAGAAAACGGAAAAAGGGGGAAAATTAGCAGTATAAAACAGAAAAAATGAAATCTTCATTATAATTTATTTATTTTTTTAGAGACGAGGTCTGTTTCCAAGACTTGAGTGCAGTAGCTATTCACAGGCACTATACCATTGCACTACAGCCTTGATCTCCTGGGCTTAAGTCTTCCTCCTTCCTTTAGACTGACTATGAAGATGAGGAATTCTTATATTAAAAATACTGGTTATATTCCATTTTCTGTGGTTATGGTTACATGAATGTGCTTACTTTGTGTAATTTACAGAGATGTATAGTTATAATTTGCCACTTTATACTTCTTTAGCAGTTAATTTAAAAACACACAAATAGACATTTTTAATGGTTGCACAATTTTGTATCTTACTTTTCAATTTTTTATTGTTAAATATTTAGGTTTGTATACAGGTGTCTGTGTGTCCATATGCATGCCATGGACATCTTTGCCCAGAAATCTTGAGAAAATCTTTATTTCCTAAAGCACAAATTGATTTGAGTCTAGGATGAAAATTTAATTGAATGATCAAATAAAAATAAGAGGTCTGTTTACTATATCAAAGGTCACTTTTCAGAGGTTCTTGAGCTTATTCAGAACATGACAACAAATATATCTCCTTTTAAACAGTGAGAAATGAAACAAGGACAGCAACATCTTGAAGGAGCTGTTAGTTGCTGCAGATCCATGGAAACAATCACCCACACACAAAAACCCATCAAGCAGGGAACACTTGACAGAAATGACAAAGTAGGTTTTCACCAGAGAAAGCCTGCAGAAATCTACATGAAAACCTGTCTTCCAAAAGGATCATTATGTTAAAAAAAGTAGATGAATGTGTGGCATCCTAACATTCTCTCTTTGGGTATCTCTTGAAGATGCAAATCAAATTATTTTATCACAAATGAATACATGTCATGTACAAGGGAAGTCATGAGTGCAGGCTGACAGGAATGTTCTTTTAAAGCAACTACAACTATTTCTCCATTTCCAGTTGAATAGAGAACAGAACCTGGTGAAAATCCTAACAATTTCTGTCCGGATAAATGGATTTTTTAAATGCCGGAACCAAAACTATATACTTGCAAAAACCGTTCACTAAAATGGTCAATAATTAAGCCTTGTGTTGTATTAACAATTTTCATAATTTCCTCTAGTCCCATTCAAAGCTTTTTGAGGGACTGTCATTTGTTGCTATTTTAAAATAAACCTAAAGGGAAAATGTTTTTGAAGTGCAAAATATTTCTTTAAAACCTTCTCACCAGCTGGGTGATTTCATACTCTAGACTAGGGCACAGAATTGTCAATAAACTTTTTGAGAGTTAATATATGGAAATAGAGAAGGGATCAATTGCTACAGAGCTACTTCTTTAGTAGTCAGCAGATACAGTTCTCAGCCAGATCTCTCTCCTGAGCTTCAGATATGCACATCAAATCTCTTATTAGACTTCTTCACAGCCACCTCAAATTAAACTAGGGTTGTTAAATCTCTGCACTATTGACATTTTAGGTTGTCATTCTGTGTTGTGGGAGGTTGTACTGTGCACTGTAGGGTGTTTTGCCACATCCCTGGCCTCTGCACATTACATGCCAGTAGGACATCTCACAGTTCTTACAACTAAACATGTTTCTAGACATTGCCATGTGTCACCTGAGGGGACAAAATTCAGCCTTGGTTGAAAACACTGAATTAAACAATGTCCCAACTGAACTCACAGTTTTCTCTTTTTCTTTTTATTTTATTTTTTATTTTGTTGAGTTGGAGTCTCGCTCTGTCACCCAGGCTGGAGTGCAGTGGCGCAATCTCGGCTCACTGCAACCTCTGCCTCTCAGGTTCAAGCCATTCTCCTGCCTCAGCCTCCCAAGTAGCTGGGATTACAGGTGTGTGCCACCATGCCTGGCTAATTTTTGTATTTTTAGTAGAGAAGAGGTTTCCCCATGTTGGCCAGGCTGGTCTCGAACTCCTGACCTCAGGTGATCCACCCGCCTTGGCATCCCAAAGTGCTGTGATACTGGCACGAGCCACCATGCCTGGCCACAGTTTTCTCTTCTAAAGATGATAATTTTCCTGCGTTCTCTATATCCATGCTGTCTTCCACATTAGAAATCTGGGAGTAATCAATTATACCTCATGAAATTTGTTCCACCAAAACTTCTTTTTATGTGTATGTATTTGTTTTGTTTTGTTTTGTTTTGTTTTGTTTTGTTTTGAGTCTCCCTCTGTCACCCAGGCTGGAGTGCAGTGACAGGATCTCAGCTCACTGCAAGCTCCGCCTCCTGGGTTCATGCCATTCTCCTGCCTCAGCCTCCCGAGTAGCTGGGGCTACAGGTGCCCGCCACCATGCCCGGCTAATTTTTTTTGTATTTTTAGTAGAGACGGGGTTTCACTGTGTTAGCCAGGATGGTCTTGATCTCCTGACCTCGTGATCCACCCACCTCGGCCTCCCAGTGTGCTGGGATTACAGGCGTGAGCCACCACGCCCAGCCTTGTGTGTATGTATTTTTATGAACACTATAACATCCATAGCAGAAATACTCAGTTAAGACTTATATGAAATAAGAAAACACCTATTTCTTTGTTGTCATTGAACAGATCAATCTCTCACTAGACAGATGAAGCAAAAGGGAAATACTGGTGACCAGCAAATATATGTGGATCATCATGAGTGCTCAAAAGGATATAATAAAATGTTCATGAAGATGTTTATGTGGGTGGAATATAATTGAAGAAAAAACATAATAATTGAAGTTAAAAGTATAAAGTTATCTCAGCAAAGCATCATCTGGTGGGTAGCAGAAAGAGGAAAGCAAAACCATTCAAAAAGAGAATCAGTAGAAGAGAGGCTTTTAGTGAGGCAAAATTTTGTTATTTTGCCTTTATATCCTATGATAAGCTTTTACAATATTTCGTTAAGCCCCAACAGCCTTAATTATATCTTTCAAATGCAGTTTATCTATTCTCATTGAATTAATTAATTTCCCTCTCATTAGACAGGTTCACTGTGTTGCAGAGTTCCAAGGAAACCAAGCACATCAAATTCTAAGTCAATGATTCCCCTTGGAGGTGCAGCACATGTAGCATGCAGAGGCAAAGACATAGTCCTTACAGTTTGCTCAGATCTTAATTTTCTCTCAACCAGATCATTGTGTAACTCTCTCAAATAAAGCCTGCGCTTCCGGCCTTGCCTAATTCTATCTATATTACATATTATAGCCAGAATTTTTTTAAATTTATGAGATATATCATATATACACATAAAACATACGTATAATATAAATAATAATTAAGAATAGATAAATACAAATAAGAATAATTAGAAAGAAAACATCATAGAAACCACCACCCATGTCAAGAAATGAAACATAGCCAGCTCTTCACTGTGCCCCATTGCCTCATGATTCTATTTTCCTTCTTCTCAAGATAGCGTTATCCTGACACTTTTGATAATATCATCCATGCTAGATATTTATGGCTTACTCCCCATGTCTTCATTTCTAAGCAACATGAATACGTCTTTCATTTTTAAGTAATCTTGTTTAGTTTTGCTTGTTTTTAAACTTATTTTTAAATTTTTCTTAAATTTTCAGATATAGTCATATCAAGTTACTCATGAGATCTTACTTTTATATATTCATTTTAAATTTTTAAATATTTTACGGTTACATAGTAGTTGTACATATTTATAGGGTACATGTGAAATATTGATACATACATACAATGTGTAATCACTAAATTAGAATGTTTGGGATAGGCATCCCCTCAAGCATTTATCATTTTTGTGTTAGGAACATTCTAAATGCAATATTATAGCTATTTTGAAATATACAATAAATTATTGTTAACTGTAGTTGCCCCATTGTGCTACTGAACTCAGGATATTATTTATTCTAAGTATATTTGTATCCGTTAACCAAGCTCTCTTAATTCCCTCCTCCCCACTACCCTTTCCAGCCTATGATAACCATAATTCTATTCTCTATCTCTATGTGATCAATTATTTTTAGCTTCCACATGTGAGTGAGAACATTCCTTGCTTATTTCACTTAATGTCCTTCAGTTCCATCCATGTTGTTGTAAATGGCAGATTTTCATTCTTTTTATGGCAGAATAATATTCCATTGTGTATATGTATCACATTTCCTCTTGTTAATTTGTAAGTATCAGTATCACTGTCCTATTTTACATTCCTGTTATAAATATTCTGTGCTCTGATGCATTTATTCATTCTTCCCTGATTTTTTTTAGTTTATATTTTCTTGCATGAAGTTACATTTTAATTGTTATTGTTGATGTTCTCTAGTTCGTATTTAGTTTCCCTTTTCATTCTTTTTAAAATAAACTTTTTTTAAGGATCGTGTTAGATTTACAGATTTATTATGAAGATAGTACAGAAAGTTCTCCTGTATCCTATACCCAGTTTCCCTGTTATTAACATGTTATAGTACTATGGCACATTCATCACAACAATCCCGTATTGATACATTATTATTAACTAAGTCCATACTTTATTCACATTTGCTCAGTTTTTCCTAATGTCCTTTTTCTGTTTCAGGATCTCAACCGAGATACCACATTATATTTAGTAGTCATGTTTTCTTAAGCTCTTCTTGGTGGTGACCATTTCTCCGATTTCCCTTGATTTGATGACCTTAACAGATTTCATGATTATTGACCAAATATTTTATCAAATGTCCTTCAAATGAGATTTTGCTGACTTTTAAATGATTATATTGGGGTAATGTGTTCTTGTGTGAGAGGCCGCAGAGGTACAGTGTCATTCTCATCACAACATATCTGCGGTATCCATATTATCAATATGACTTATTACTGTTGATGTTAACTTTCAGGTTGTGTTTGTGAGGTTCCCTTTTTTCTATACTGTACTTTCTGGAAGAAAGTCACTATCCGCGGTCCTCACTTTAGAAGTCGGAAGTTATGTTGTAATTCTTAAAGGTAGAATATCTGCATAAATTATTTGGAATTCTTATGGAGACTTGTCTCTTCTCTCCATTTATTTGTATAAGTGTATCAATCACTTATTTATATCAGTATTAATTCATGGATATTTGCTTTATGCATAGAGTTAGCCTCAAGGGAAACACTATATCAATAGAGTACAGAAATTATGTACAGTTCTTTTTGCCTTTAGGGTTATATAGACTCCACTCATTTCCAAAGTTACTTAGGCCATCAACTTAGTCTTTCATCCACTTCAGTGAAGTTGTTTTATAAATTTCTAATACATTTAGATTATTTTGTCCTATTCTGCCTTTTATTCTGCAATCCCCTAATCTGTTAAAAATTATTTCTTAAAATTTGCATTTATTAAGGTTTATTCTTCATGCTTTCATTTCAATGGGTTTGACAAATGTCTAACGTCTTTTATTCATAATATCACATAAAATAGTTTCACTGTTCTAAAATGTCTATGTGCTTCACCTACCTAACCCTACTCTGACTGCATATTGAATCCCTGGTAACCACTAATCTGTTCTCTGTCTTTGTAGTTCGCCTTTTCCAGAATATAATTGACATCATATACTATGTAGCTTTGTTAGACTGGTTTATTTCATAGCAATGTGTATTATAGATTTGTCTGTGTCTTTTCATGGCTTTATAGCGTATTTCTCTTTAATGTCGATAATATTCCATTATACAGAATGCAACAAATTTTGTTTTTCTATTCAACTTTTGAAGGATGCTTTGGTTACTTCCATATTTGGGTGATTACAAGTGAAGCTTTTATAAACATTTGTGTGCAGATTCATGTTCAGCTTTTCAAATCAGTTGGGTAAAAGCCTAGGAGTGTGATTGCTGGATCATATGGTAAGACTATGTCAACTTTTATAATAAATTGCCAAGCCACCTTCCAAAGTTGCTGTACCATTCTTCTTTCTTATCATCAATTAATATATACTCTATTATTTTGTAACCTAGCTAGCAGTTCGCAGTGTTAGAGTTTTTAGCTGCCATAATAAGGTACTCATCATTGTTTTAATTTGCAATTTCCTAATGACATATGATAGTATGCATCTTTTCATATGCTATTTACGATATGTGTATCTTCATTGATGAAATCTGTGTTCAGATCTTTGTCCATTTTTAAATTAGATTTGCTTGTTTACTTATTGGTGAGTTTTAAGGGTTATTTTTATATTTTGGATAAAAGTCCTTTATCAGTTATATGCTTTGCATATATTTGTACCTAGTCTATGACTGATATTTTCATTCTCTTAATAGGGTCTTTGTTAGAGCAAAGTTTTTAATTTTAATAAAACTAAAATTATCAGATTTTTCCCCTGAATTTTACTTTTGATATTTTATTTGGAAAAGGCATCACTAAACTCAAGGTCCTGTACATGTTCTTTTATGTTTTTCAAGAAGTTTTGTAGTTGTACATTTTGCATTTATTTCAGGATTCATTTTGAATTAATTTTTATGTAAGGTGTAAAGTCTGGATGAAGTTCATTAGTTTGCATACTGACATCGAAATTTTCCAGCACCGTTTGTTGAAAAGACTACCCTTCCTCTTTTCACCTTTGCTCCTTTGTAAAATATTAATTACATATTAATACAATGTTAATTTGTGAGGGCTATCACAGCAAGGTACCCCAGACTAGGTGGCTTAAACAATGTAAATACATTTCTTCACAGTTCTGGAGGCTACAAGTCCAAGATCAAGCTGTTAGCAGGGTTGGTTTCTTCTGAGGGCCATGGGGGAAGTATGTATTTCAGGCCTCCCTCCTTGGTTTGAGGATGGCCATCTTACTCCAGTGTTTTCATGTCAACTTCTCTCTGCTCATGTCTGGTCCAAATTTCCTCTTTTTAGAAGGATGCCTGTCATACTGAATTAAGGCCCACCCTAATGACCTCATTTTAACTTAATTACCTCTGTAAGGACTCTGACTCCAAATACAGTCACGTTCTGAGGAAATAGGGATTAATACGTCACTGTGGGAATTTGGGGAAGCACAATTTAACTCATAAAAACTATATTTGTGTAGATATATTCACAGGCTTTCTATTCTGTGCCATTGATCTATATGTCTGATCTTTCACCAATACCATGCTGTCTTGATTATTGTAGCCTTATAGTAAGTCTTGAAATTTGGTAATGTGAGTTCTCATACTATGTTGCTCTTTTTCAATATTTTATTGGCTACTTTATGTCTTTTCCTGCCTATATAAACTTAAGAATCAATTTTTCAGTATCTCTGAAATAGCTTGCTAAGATTTTGATTGAGGTCTTTTCAAATTTGTGGATCAAATTGAGAAGAATGGACATATTAACAAATTTGAGTCTTCCAATCCATACACAAGGACAAGGACTATCTCTTCACATTCTTTATTTTTTCATACATAGTTATTAATATATAGGTATGGTACATATTTTGTTAAATTTATACTTACTACATAATTTTAGGGGTGTCATTGTAAATTAAATTGCTTTTCATATGTCAAATTCCAATTGTTCATTGCTTGTATATGGGAATGCAATTATTACAATATTACAAAGTAACATTACAATACTAACCTTGTGTCATGTGACCTTAATAAACTCATTATTTCTTCCAGGAAATACTTTTCTTTCCTTTCTGTCAATTCTTTGGGATTTTCTTAATCAACAATAATTTCTTCTTTGAATAAAAACTTTATTTTTTCTTTCCCAATCCATACACTTTTTATACCTTTTTTGTTTGTCTTACTGTATCATCTAAGATTTCCAATATGATATTGAATAAGAGTGCTGAAAGAAGACATCCTTGCTTTGTTCCTACTCCTAAAGGGAGCATTTAATTTCTCACCATCAAGTATGATGTGATGTTAGCTGTAGGTTTTCTGTAGATGTTCTTTACCAAATTGAGGATGTCCCCTATATTCCTATTTTCTGGGAGTTTATCATCATTAATACATATTGGATTTTTGTCAGATGATTTTCATCTCCAAAAATCACTAGGTACTAGAACTTGAACCCAAAACACTGCATGGAGATTTTAGAATGGTGGAATCTATACAGTTTTACCAGGTCTTTAGATTTTGTATTGTATTCTGCTGAATTCCTGATTTTCCAGCTCAGCTAATTGATATCTCTTTTTAAGTTAAAAACCCTCGTGATTTTATAGAAGAAATAAACATAGAAAAGGAAAAATTCCACAAAGCTGATTTAATCATTTCGTTATACGATTTTGAAAATAGCACAATGATTTTATTACTTGTATGTTTTGTACACCTGGATATTACTTGTGTGTTTTGTCCACCTGGAAGTCAGAAGATTCGAGATTTGGAACCAATCTAGAATTTCTCTTGATTTTTCTGCATCCTCTAACTCTTGGGCTCAAGCGATCCTCCTGCCTTGGCCTCTCAAGTAACTGGGACTACAGGTGTGCACCACGATACCTGGGTAATTGTTGAATATTTTGTAGAGATGGGATCTCACTATGTTGCCCAGCTGGTCTCAAACTCGTGGCTTCAAGCCATACCTCCATTTCAGCCTCCCAAAGTTCTGGGATTACAGGTGTCAGCCACAATGCCTGGTTCCCGCTTATTCCTTTGTTATTTCCTTCCTTTATTTCTTTTTTACACAGATTCTCACGAAGGCTTACAATGTGCCATTTCCCCATGAATATTTTGGAATACACTTCCTACACAGAGAGTTTTAAAACTCATCCAAACAGTTGAGGATACTCTCAAGGAATTATAGCAAAATGTAAATATCAATGAACAATTCTCCTTCAGCTTGAACTTCTGCATCTGATTTTTTTTTCTCATTATTCTGTTATATCTCTTTTCCACTAGCTTTGTTCGACAAATAGACTCATTAACATCAGTTAATGCCAGGTGTCATTCTACAGGAATAAGACTAGTTTGTGGAATTCTAAGTAGTGTTCTAATATAGGAAAATGTTCTATGTAGAAGACAAAGATAAAAATGATCTATTAGATTTTTAATTTAAATCCTAACAGTAAGATAGTCCATGTAACAGAAATTAGCTATGGAATAATACCGAGACTCTTCTTCCTAATCATACTCTTCTATGATCCAATTCTCTCTCTCTCTGAAGAATTGTAGTATAGTTTGTCTCCAGTGTTTTGAAATTTTATGAGGGGTATGCCTTGATAAATGGATGTTTTCATCTACTGTGCTAGACAATCAGTGGGTTTTTGAATCTGGAAACTCTTGCCTTTCAAATGTGGAAATTTTTCTTAGTTTAGTGTGTGTGTGTGTGTGTGTGTGTGTGTATGTGTGTGTGTGTGTGTGTGTGTGTGTTTCATTTCTGTTTCTGGAGCACTATATTCAGAATTTGTTATTCTACTAGCTCATTCTTCAAGTGAAACTCTCCTCTATTTTCCAAAAACAAAAAGTGTTTTTGCTTTACTTTCTGAAAGATTTTTCAAATTTATCTTTTTCTCTTTTCATTTGAATTTGTCATCTCTGTTTTCATTTTTATATTTTAATTTCTAAGAGGACTTTTAGTTTTCTGAGTTTTTAAAAATTTGTAAATTTGTATTCCATTCTTGTTTCAATGAAGGAAAATCTCTCTGTCTCATTCATTAATTAGTGATAGTTTTTTTTTAATTACTTCAACCTGTATAACCTTTCTCCTCAAATTGCTGTTCTTATATTTGTTTATTTTGGTCTCTTTTATAAAAGAGGTTTTTCTGAAATGTCTGGTTATCATGGTGCTCTGTTCATATTTATGAATAGGCATTAAGTAACTTATTAGAATTCTGTACACATGAGTGCCACTGGTTAAACATGGACTTTACTACAGCTGATCAGATTTCTCAGGGAAGAATATTCCAGGTTCAAAATGATCTGTCCGTTTCTGGGAGCTGAGTGGATTACCATGGGGCATGTAGACTCTCACTTCCCCTCTTTCCAGTGTGACATCCCCATGCTGCCTGGTGTCTTCCAATACAGAGCCACTGTGCTTTACTTTCTTCCTTGTTTTCTGTTTGGTAAGATGGAACATTTCACTCTGCCACAAAGATTCTAGTGATATGGGGATCTACTTGTTTCTTTGAATCTAGTGTTAAGGGGACGTAACTGCTTCTTAGAAGACTTTCAACAACCCTATTGTTTTAATCCAAACTTTCATGCTCATTTTCAGCCTTCCACAAATTTTGAGGTTCCATATGGCTCTGTAGTGCTCTATACTATTTTATTCCTTCAGTTTTCTTTCAGTGTTCTAAGGCCTAGGTTGATTACAGGTCACCAAAGATTGTGTTAAAAACCATGTCAACAGGCTAGATAGTTCTTCAAAAGAGTTCTGAGCCCTAAATTGTAGGCATGGGGTGTTTTATATACCGAATCAAATGTTCACATTCAAATCTACTATCAACAAAAATGAGGAACACACACAATAACAAAATATATTGATACACCATTTGTTTGTTACAGATTGTCTATTGATTTCCACATGATAATTTATTTAGATTAAAAAACTATTTCAGAATTGATTTTAAAAGACATAAATTATAAGTTAATCAAAAGTTCTTATCAAACTAGGTATATTAGAATGACCTAAAGTAATATACACCTTAGATAAACATTTATCTAATGCCATTAATCATGACACAGTCAAATTAAATGATTCAAATCAATGATTTAGTATCATATCTTTTAGATTAATCTCAGTGTCATTTATTATTAAACTGCATGTCCAATAAATTGCTATGTATATTGCCAGATATGCAATTACAACTTTGCCCTAATGTTTCTCTCTGTCCTAAAGTGAGGCAATAATTTAAATATTTGATTAAATTTATACTGCTTGTACAGTTGTAGTTTCTTTTTCTTGGTAAACGAAACAAAACATTCTTATTACCTATTATCCTTTTTGTCAAATTAATGAAAAGTTTTAACCACATATATTAATAGCATTAGCTGTAACTGCAAAGTGAGCAAATATAAATTAAACAAAAACAACTTAATATTTTCTTTTATAAACACAAATATAGGGTGCCTAATTTCTCACATTCAATGTAATTTTCACATATAAGATTATCTGTAAATATAATTATATTTTCTGATTATGTATCAAAATTTTGATTCCTGTATATTTAATTTTGGGCAGTTATTCCTTTATTTTTTCATTTCTATCAGTGTTCATTCAGAAAATATTATTTTGATATGATATATATTCATATATATTTTATAAAATGTAGATAAAATGGAAATAAAAAATAAATTTAGTTGGATCTTTATGCAGTTTAAATTTTCTAATTTTATAATATGTAGATATACTTTATAATGTAAATATATTTTAGATATGTAGATAAAATTTAAAATATAGATTAATTTTATAAAATGTAGATAAAAAGAAATAAAAAATAAATTAATTTAATTGGATATTTATGCAGTTTAAAGAGCAGAGGACTTGCTTCAGAAGACTTGGTTCAGATAGATTAACCATTATGTAGATGTGGTAGAGTCAACACAAAGTTAATCTGTGAGGGTTTCCATGTTTATATTATTCATAGTGTTCTTCATGTACTAGGAGATAAGTGAATCTTCTAAAACTACTAACCATCATAATTAGGTGTTTCAAATCTAAGAGGAAGAAGGTAATTACAATGCATATATAATCAGAGATGTCAATTTATTTTAAGGAATGTCATTGTCTCCTATTATATTCTCATATCCAAATTTGAGCTGGATAAAATACATAAAATATCTGTTTAATATATATATAAATATGAGAAATACTATTATTAGATTTTAGACAACAAATGGTGCAAGACGATAAAATCTGGGAATATGGAAAAAAATTAATGGTCCTGGCTTTTTATTTGGAGATATTTTTAGGCTGTAGTACACTTTTGTGAGCCCAAAGGAAGCAAATAGTATCTCTGAGCAAAGATAGAAATTGGAGTTTGACATTACTAAGGTAACTGAAATGTACAGGCAGGGTATCCAAGAAACAAAATGTTACAGGAAGTAAAAAATATGCATCAGAGACTCCTTGATTGGTTGGCCAAATACTAAGTTGCACCTTGACAGGGAGAGGCTCCGCAGTGAGGGCAAAATGCCACCAGGGAAGGAACCGCTACTGAGGAACAGTAACTAGAGGGGTATGAGCCACGTCCTCATGCTGTCATTCTTGCTTTCAGGATTTGCTGGAGCTAACCCATGAAGTCCCCTGCAATAGTTGCAGCTATTTTATACTTCCAAGAACAATGCATGAGATGCTCTTTTCTTTATATATTTGGTATCATCATACATTTTCATTTTTCCATTGATGTCTGTGAAGTCATATCTCATTGTTATTTGGCATTTTATTGATTTCTCATGAGGTTAATCACATTTACATGTTTGTTGAACATTTCATTTATTCTATAAATTGTCTGTCAGTATTTCCAAATTATTTGTTTCATAGTTTTTTCTATTAGGTTTTTGTCTTTTCTTACATTTATAAGAATTCTTTATATATTCTGCAACCAAATATTTTATAGGTGTAAGCTTGAAAAATCCTTTCAACTCTGAAGTCAAAAATATATAATCTTACTTTTTTCCTAAAATATTTAAATTATTGCCTTTTACATTTGTGTTTTTAATCCATATACATATGTGTCATGCAGAAGTTCTGAAAATTGTTCAGTTTTTCACTAATTTTTTTACAGTAAAATAAATCTTTCATAGTTTCATTTTATTAAGAGGTTATAGCCAAACAGCTTAGTAGTAGTTTGGTGTCTGACATATACTGCTGTATTTCTCTTGAAAACTTAAATATTCCACAGCAAACTTATTTCTTGTTAACTTATGTATTGTGAGGTAATGGTCTAATTTATCCATTTCTGAGATTGATACTCATGTATCCCAGCATTATTATTATTATTATTTTATTTTTTGAGACGGAGTCTCGCTCTTGTCGCCCAGGCTGAAGTGCAATGGTGCGATCTTGGCTCACTGCAACCTCCACCACCTGAGTTCCAGCGGTTCTCCTGCCTCAGCTTCCCAGGTAGCTGGGATTACAGGTGCCCGCCATCAGGCCTGGCTAATTTTTGTACTTTTAGTAGAGATAGGGTTTCACCATGTTAGCCAGGCTGGTCTCGAACTCCTTACCTCAGGTGATACGCCCGCCTTGGCCTCCCAAAGTTCTAGGATTACAGGCTTGAACCACTGCGCCCAGCCTGTCACAGCATTATTGACAGCTTTTCATTTCCTGATTCATGTGTGATGTGGCCTCTATCATATATCAGGCTTCTGTGTGCAGGCATCTGATGGTTGACCGTATTCTGTTTCACTGGTCTGTGATCCTGTCCGTTTTCTGGTATTTTGTAGATAAACATGTTGTTTTCAAAATGTTCTGGGTTCTTCTTGCCTTTTGATTTTCTGCATGAATTTTGGGTGAAACTTGTCATGTTTCATAAAATCTCATTCAAAATTCATTTAGAATTACTTGGAATTTATAGATTATCTTACAGAGAATTGGTATCTTTATGATATTGACTCTGCCAACAGGTAAACATTCCTTAGCTCCCTATTCTTCTTTGTTGCAGATTTACCCAATTTTTTCAAACAAACATATTTACTTCACTCTTTTACTATTTTCTTGGCAGTTGTACATAGACTTTTAGTTTTAGAATATAAGGAGCTGCCTTATAAGAAGCTTACAAAGCACTTACATGTACATGTAAAATATTGAATACTTGCTTCTGTCAGCAGACATAACATTTACTTCAATTGTATTGAATTAAGCATTCCCTTCCTTTCAAGTAATTATTTTGTTTGTGGAATTAAATTTTTATCTTTTGTGTGTAAATGATGCTTAAATTTTGATAGTTTAATAGTTTTATGAACCAGTACATCTCCACCAATAACACTGTTTTAGTACTTCCTCAGCTTGAGCTGCTAAACAAAACTTAATATGTGAAGAATGATACTTCTGAGTAGAATTAGCATAAAATATTTTGATTTTTGTTTCTTCAAAATCACTTTCATTATCATTATTTCATTTATTATTATTGTTGAGTTCATAAAAATCACGTCTTTACAAAAATTCTAATGAAGCTTATTTTGACATTATTAAATTAGGATTAAAAAATAACATATTTTACTTCCTTAATTTAGTCAATAGTAGTGAATCATACATAATAAAAACCAGGCTTGACTAAAATTTAAATTATTTATAAGTTAAAAACACAAATTGACTACATGTTTTTAATTTCTTTCTTTTTACTCTTTAAATTTTTTTTTAATTTTTAACTTTAATTTTTATGGGTACATAGAAGGTGTAGATACATTTACTGGGTACATGAGATATTTTGATACAGGTATACAATGTGTAATAATCACATCATGGTAAATGGGGTACCCATCACTTCAGTCATCATTTCTTTGTGTTACAAACATTCCAGTTGTACTTCCTCAGTTATTCTCAGTTATATAAAGTGTATAACTTTATACACTTTATATTCGGTTATATAAAGTGCAGTACAAATTGTTGCTGACTGTAGTCACCTTGTCCTATCAAATACTAGGTCTTATTCGTTATTTTTTTCTAACTTTTATTTTAAGTCCCAGGGTACATGCACAAGATGTACAGATTTGTAACATAGGTAAACATGAGTCATGGGGTTTGTTGTACAGATTATTTCATCACCCAGGTATTAAACCTAGTACCCATTAGTTATTTTTCCCGATCCTCTCCCTCCTCCCAACCTCTCCCCTCCAGTAGGCCCCAGTGTGCATTGTTTCCCTTTATGTGTCCATGTGTTCTCATCATTTAGATGTAGCCAACAAGCATATGAAAAAAGCTCAACATCTCTGATCATTAGAGAAATGCAAATCAAAACCACAATGAGATACCATTTTACATCAGTCAGAATAGTTATTTTTAAAAGTGCAAAAAATAACAGATGCTGGCAAGATTGTGGAGAAAAAGGAATGCTTATACACTGTTGGTGGGAATGTAAATTAATTCAACCATTGTGGGAGACAGTGTGGCAATTCCTCAAAGACCTAGAGACAGAAATACTATTCAACCCAACTATCCCATTACTTGGTATATACCCAAAGGAATATAAATTGTTTTATTATAGAGACACATGCACATGTATGTTCATTGCAGCACTATTCACAATAGCAAACACATGGAATCAACCTAAATGCTCATCAGTGAATGACTGGATAAAGAAAATATGGTATATGTACACCTTGGAATATTACAGAGCCAGAAAAAGGAATGGTATTATGTCTTTGCAAGGACGTGGATGGAGCTGGAGGCCATTATCCTTTAGCAAACTAATTCAGAAACAGAAGACAAAATGCCATATTTTCTCATATTTTAATATACTTTCAGATTACAGCTGAGAAGTCAACTCTGAAATATCACATGCCATAATATGGTCCTACTTACTGCAAGCAACTGGACTCAGTTCATGTAAGTTACTGCAAATTGTATAACACCTGAATTGTTCTATAACTGTAATTCATTGAGTGAGATAGATATGCTAATTACATGCTATGCTGTTCTATAAGTTTCTAAGTGCTTAATATTAATTTATGTACTTAACTTGTTATGGCTCAGTAACAAGTATTTTATGCAAAGCATTGGTCCATGAACTACACTTTAGATTGCAGTACATAAGAAAATGCAGACATTGTACACAGGAATAATAAAACCAAAAAATTTATTTGAAATAGAGAACCATTCTTTTTGTGTACATGCAATTCAAACATGGTGGTTATATGAACTAAGACTTTCTTTTTTCAGCTTTATTATCTAAAAACACAATGAAATGATATACAACTATGAAGGACTCTATGACAATAAAAGTGGTTTGAAATTTAAATTTTGTGTTGGAATGTGTTTGGATGGTATAATAGTGAAGACAGGGAAACCTTCTGGAGTCATTACCCAGATTAAGGAGCTCGTACTTCCTTAATTAAGAAATTATTGCTATAAAAATAAAATCAGCTAAACTAAACAGTGAGCTAAGTGGCATCATAAAAATTGTGAATTATGTAAATTCTAATGTAATATATTAGAGAATGTTCTCCATGTTATTTAATAATATGGAATCCCATCAAAAACAACAATCATGGCTCATTGAGGGATAATAACTGTTGAAAGGGCTGGGCGCCGTGGCTCACGCTTGTAATCCCAGCACTTTGGGAGGCCAAGGCAGGTGGATCACCTGAGGTCAGAAGTTCAAGACCAGCCTGGACAACATGGTGAAAACCTGTCTCTACTAAAAATTAAAAAAATTAGCCCAGCATGGTGGTGTGCGCCTGTAATCCCAGCTACTCAGGAGGCAGAGGCAGCAGAATTGCTTGTACCCAGGAGGCAGAGGTGGCAGTGAGCCAAGATCGCACCATTGTATTTCAGCCTGGGTGACAAGAGCTACATTCAGTCTTAAAACAAAAACAAAAACAAAAACTGTTGAAGGAAAATATTTTATGGAGATCTGCTTTTGGTACAAAACCAGAAACCAATTTGGCCCTATGTTTTTAAAGATGTAAATTGCACGCTGACTTGCTTAAGTGTCTGTTGTCTTGATTATTTCTAATGATATTAATACTTCCATGTGAGAAAAAGTACAATGCTTTTCAATGACAAATATGATCATAGGGCAACAATAAAAATAAGAAGCTTGGAGAACAATGTGTCTGTTATGACACATTTCACAACATAATTACAATTTTTACTGAAGTATGAAAAATACATGGTGTTGTACCCTAAGAAAAATTGTTACTGTCTTAGAACTTTGATAGAAATATTTAAAATGTACATTAAAAGTATATACAGATGTAGAAAATCTATTGATCTGTATTTCATATCTTTTATCAAAGCGTAATTTAAATTTATTTAAAATGTCACAAGATAAATTATTGTAATTATGGGATTATTTAATTCAGTTGGGAAAAAATTTTAAATAAATATTGTGAAATTTCTTTAAAATATCTTCACTTTGATTTATCTACTATGCATCTTATTTAAAAGAAATGAAATAATTTAAATATACATAGTTTCCTAAAACGGTGCTTTTTCAATCCAACCTAGGCGAGATAGATTAACAAGTTAGTAAAAAAAACACAAGCTTATTTGTCACATTAAATACTTTAAATATTAAAGTTCATGGGATTTATTTAAAATGTGCATATAAGGATTTTATATAGATGTATCATTAGTTATTTCTACAATTATAATACATAATAGACCTCCTCAATACTCAGTGTCTTAAAACAATAAAAATTTGGTTTTGCTTATGAATTTAAGTTTGGCTTCCTACGTATTAAAAATAATCAGTGTACTAGATGATGGCCTATGGAATGCTGAGCCAGCTAGACCAATGATTTTAAAGAAAAATACCAAATAGCAGGAAGCCCAAGGAAGTCATAGAAAGTAGGGCATATTATTGGAAAGAATTAGAACACCTACCAAAATATATATCTGTCAAGAGCCAGGACTGTCAGAGGCTCAATTCATATCAGAAAGTGGTAGACATAGTCTTTCTAACAGAATCAGAAGTAAAGCTAAATTATTCAATCAAGGATTAAAGGCCCTATCTGTGAATGAGAAAGTTCCAAATTCCTTAGTCTTACAAGCATATGAAGAACAGCCATTTTCTGATATAACCCACAGCACTCAGACCTTGGAAAAAATATTCCAGCGGTCATCAAATTAGTAGCCAAATTAAGCGTGATTAAGTGAATACATGAACCAAGTCTAAATAAATACTCAGAACCTCTATAAATGTAGGGACAGCATAGTTTAGGAAAATATCAGTGAAGTCCATATAACTTACAGAAGAAAGAAAAAACTCTATATAGCATAACAGCTACTAAAAACATTGAATACTTAATATATGCATGGAAATGATGCCATGGGAATAAAACCACACTTTTAAAGCTAAGTTTGATAAGTAAAAGGGAAATTAGCAGAATAAATTTAAACCAGGCATTTTCTACGCTAAGATGGATGGAAAAGGTATGTAGAAGGCACTGTTAGAAAGAGGTGCTCTCGAAGAGTCAGTGGTTGGGATGTCCAAAGACAAAATGTGAAAAATGTTAGGAAATGATTAAAATATAATTAAATTGGTGTGTAATTGTGGATTCAAATTGTGGGGTGGCATATAAAACAGTATAAAATAATAGTTGTCCCCACAAATAAATGCATTATAGGAATCAATATTATTAGGGTTGATTTAAAAAGTATATGGGAGGGGGCCGGGCGCGGTGGCTTACGCCTGTTATCCCAGCACTTTGGGAGGCCGAGGCGGGTGGATCACGAGGTCAGGAGATCGAGACCATCCTGGCTAACATGGTGAAGCCACGTCTGTACTAAAAATACAAAAACAAAATTAGCCGGGCGTGGTGGCAGGCGCCTGTAGTCCCAGCTACTCGAGAGGCTGAGGCGGGAGAATGGCGTGAACCCGGCAGGCGGTGCTTGCAGTGAGCCGAGATCACGCCACTGCCCTCCAGCCTGGGTGACAGAGTGAGACTCCGTCTCAAAAAAAAAAAAAAAAAGTATATGGGAGGGAATAAAATTTAAAAGATCCATGAAGCTAGGATAGAGAAAATGGGAAGGTATCCCTCTCCCCAGGCCAGCTCAAATTGTACTTATCCTCTGATATAAATTAGAGATTTAAGAAAATAGTAAAATAATAGAGAAAATTTAAGAAGAAGACATAATTGAACATACCATGTCACTATATAATTCAAAATTATAGCTTATTTATAAAAAACTTCTGTGAAATGGAGATCTGTCATAGACTATAGAAATCTAAAAAAAGGTAACATAAAGAGCAAGATCTATATGAAATATGAAAAAGAAATTTGTGAGATTTTTATTAGTACAAGAAATACATGTCAGTAATGTACTTGTCACGTTCTTTGCAATTTTATATTTGAAGGCTAGCAACATGAATTCACATTCACATGAAAAGGTCCCAATATGCTTTCAGTGGACAGCCCCAAGTTATTTTTATAGGCCAATGATAGCAAATAATCTATGTAGACAAATGTAAATATAATAGACCAATGATACTGCAATCATAGAAGAAAATATAGAAAATGTATAAGAAAGGCTAACAAAACAATAAATCTTTACAAAAAGGAAAATAATTAATGGTACAAGAAAAAGTACAACTTGCAGAAACCTGTTAAATTCTTGGAATTTATTTGATCTTCCAAGGGAACAAAAATAACTACCTCAATGAAACAACAAAAAAAAGGAAGAAATCATATCTGAAGATAAAAGAAAGTACAAAAATTATGTATTTTTTTAACCTCTCTAACAAGATTAGGAAAATTTTTGTGGAAACAAAATTTTGAAAACATTTTCGTCAAATATGTTTTCCAAATTGTTTATTCTCTCTCCTTCTCTGTCAGGAATACCAATGAGTTATAGAGTTGGTCTGTTTACATAATCCCATATTTCTCAGATTTTTTTCATTTTTAAATATTCTTTTGAAATTTTTGTCTGACTGAGTTGATTTAAAAAGGTAATCTTCAAGCTCTGAGATTCTTCTCTTAGCTTGGTCTGTTCTGCTGTTAATATTTCTGATTCTATTACGAAATTCTTGCAGTGACTATTTCCACTCTACAAGTTCAGGTTGGTTCTTTCTTAAAATGGTTATTTTGTCTTTCATTTCTGGGATGATTTCACGGGATTCCTTGCATTGGGTTTCAACTTTCTTTTGAATATCAACGAGCTTCCTTGCCATCCAGATTCTGAATTCTGTGTAAGTCACTTCAGTCATTTCAAATTGGTTAAGGACCATTGCTGGGGAACTAGTGGAATTGTTTGGAGGTCAGGGGACACTCTGGCTTTTTTAATTGCCAGAGTTATTGTACTGTTCTTTCTCATCCAGGAGAACTGGTATTCCTTTAACTGTGGTGTAAGTTGAGGATAGTCAGTTGGCTTCATTTCTGGGTGTTTTCAGAGGGCCAAAATTCTGTCCAAATTCTTTACTTGTGGCCGAATTCTTGCTCTTTGTTTTCCATGGGGAGTATATTAGCAAAGTATTTTTGGTGTTGTAGTTTCAGCTGTGATTCCGTACATGGTGCTTAAGAGTAATGGCAGGTAGATAGGCTTTCACTCAGCCAACTGACTCCTTTGTATTTCCTTGCATTTGTGGCCCTGCTCTGTGATGTGGTGAGGAGAGAGGTGACTTCCTCACCAGGTCCGCTGTGAGCCTTGGAGAAGCCCCTTTTGATCACTGGTACACTCATGTTCTTTTGTCAGGTGTTCCAAGCCACAGGGCTCCCTTGGTCAGAGACGGCAGCAGGGAGATAGGCCACACCTGTTCTGCAGAGCCCTGTGGATGGAGGCATGCCTCTCTCTCACCGTAGCCCACAAGCCTATGTGGCTCACCTGGCTCAGTGCTCTGAGAGTGTGGGTACCTCTCCCTCTTGAGTGCCAGCTACAGGTCTCAGCTTGGCACTCCCTAGCTGTACAGAGCAGCCCTGGGGTGAGCTCAGGCTTTTTGTCATTCTCTCTCCTCTTATTTGCTCTCTCCTGCTGCTTGGGGGCAGCAGTGGTGGGGACCATGGCAGCTGCAGTGACAGAGGACCTGTCAGTGGTCTATGGCACTGCACCCCAGAATAACACAGAACTGCCACTGACTGGTGACCAGGTGTGGGTGGGGCAGCTGAATTGTGGGCCCTGGCAGGTGGCCCTGCCTGGGGAAGAGCAAGGAAATCAGGGGTTCACAGGAAAATAATGTGGCCTCCTCTCCATAGGGCAGCTGTGGCATTCTGGAGGTGCCAGCAAAGCAATCAGGGTCTTCGTTCCCTCCCTAGCCTGGGGGAAGTGAGGACTGGTACCTTGGCAGTGGCAATGGCAGAGGGCCTGTCGGTTGTCTCTGGGAACTCTAGCCCACAGAAACACAGAGCCCTCTCTGACTGAAGTGAGCAGGTCGGGTGGGTGGCAGCTATGGCGTCCCAGGCTAGGAGGTCCTCTCCGGGGAGGAGACAGAGGGGCAAGGACCTGCATGGAAAACAGTCTAGCTACTTTTCTGTTAGGCAGCTGCAGCATACTGCAGGCCCACAACTATTCTTGGGTTCTTGGTTCTTTCCTCAGCCTGAGGGCAGCAGGGGTAGGGACTGCGGCAGTGAGAATTGCAGTGGGACTGTCAGTTATGTCTGGGAGCGCCGTCCCACAGAAATGCAGGGCTGTGATTGGCCAGAGTTTCTCAAGCCAGAAGTGGGGCGGTGGCCAGACTGCGCTAAGGGCTAAGGTCCCAGGCTAGTGGTCCTTCCCTTGTGATCTGCAGTCCTTCAGCTCCTTAGCACCGTAAATGTCGCCCATCTCTTGTTCCAGAGAGCTCGCCTCCTCTTGTTGACGTGGCTATGGCAACTGGCACCAGGATGCACAGGGATCCAAGGCCCATAGGGCCCACATGGGCTTGAGCAGTGGCCCTGCCCAGACTCCAGGAAGTTCTCTGTGTCAATCAGGAGATGGGGGCTAAGGAGGATTTCCCGTGCCCAGGGTTGCAAAGGTCTGTGACAGAAGTGTGAGTCCCCAAGGGCTCTGGCTCACTTATCCTTTCCCCATAGTAGGGACCCTCCTCTGGCTCTGTGCCCATCCTGGGTGGGCAGCTGTCCTACCTAGCTCCTCTCTGCTCTCCATGGTGGCCATTGCTCTCTTGATGAACCCCAGCTTGGTTCCCTGGACGTTCCACTTGAAGAGCTGGAGTTTACTTGCCGCTCTCTCTCCTCTTTGAGGGAGCAATGCTTACAGCCACCTTGGTGCTTCTCCAAAGCTACTTTCTGTAACAAATTTTTTTCTTCTCTGTTATGCTGTAGGCCAGTTTCTTAATCTTGCTTTGTTATTCATGACATCATATTAGAGTTTAAATTCCTAAGTGCTCTTGAAATTTTGATTATGATTTTTTATTTAAGATTTCTATTTTTTATTTGTTTTCTTCACATTTGCCATGTTTTGTTTTCTAATTTCTTGCCTTTTTTAATGAAAACTGATTATTATAGATTAAATTAATACCATTATGAATTTTTATTTTTCTGACTATCTTGAAGAGACTAATTTGAATATAGTTTTCAGATTCTTCAATAAAATTGATATTATCAGGAGTTCCTGCCTGGCTGTTGACTTCTTTTTTATAATAACCTCAATGTGTTAGCATGTTTTTGGATATGGGTGGGTGGCTCACTTTGGTTGACAAGTATTTTGTTTGTATCTTCTCTATCTCTGTCCCTACTGCTTTGCTCATTCCTTTCCATCTTCGAGTTTTGTATTTGCTTCCACTGACCCCTAGTTTTGAATAAGAACTTATGGCGATTTGGAGTCTTGCTCCACATAATATCAGAGATATTACAAAGCCAATCACGAGGTCAGAAGCTGCCTTTACTCAGATCTTGAATCCTCTCTTCCTAGATGTGCAGCCATCATGGGATATCTACTGGGGCCGTGTGTTTTGCTGGTATAGTTGTTCCCCTTATTCATCGTTTCACTTTCTACAGTTTCAGTTACCTGCAGTCAACCAGGGGTCTGAAAATATTAAATGAAAAATTCCAGTGATAAACAATTTATGTTTTAAATTACATGTCGTTCTGAGTAGTGTGATGTAATCTTATATTGTTTCATTCCATCTCACCTGGACATGATCATCCCTTGCCCAGCATGCCCATGCTGTATATACTACCTGCTGTATATTCCAACCCGCTGCTAGTCATTTAGCAGCCATCTTGTTATCAGATTGACTATCATGCATTGGTGCTGGTGTTCAAGTAACCTTTAGGTACTTACTTTAGGTACTTATAGAAGTTATGCTCCCATCTTCCTACAGAGACTGGTAGATAAGGCCACTCTTTCTTACTGATTACATTCCAATTGGGATGGCTCCCAGGTTCTTGAGAAAGACGTTCCTGGGTTGTAAAACTAGCAAGAGTGTGGTAGGAGATTTATATTTCAAGAAAACAGATAAATAATTTACAATTGCAAGTTTTTTTAAGTAAATGTTCTAAGAAAAAGGGGAGCTAGGAGGAAACTGGTCTAAAGTTTAGTTAAGTTGAGGACAATGTTGAAATCATCTTAGTTACGTTTTCTCAGGCTAAAGAAAAACTAGATTTTATGTTTGACAATGAGCATTTACTTTAATATATATTTTTAAACATTCAGGCTACCCAATTTTTAATTTCCAAACTTTATAACTAGCTTCTCTCAAATAAGAACTTAGTCATATATAAGTTCTCCCTTGTATCAGATTATAAAGTACAAATGCACTATTTTGTTGGGATGTTTGAAAGTTAATTCATTCAGGATAGCTTTTTCAATAAGAACAAAATTTTGACTATAGTCAGAATACAAAATTGTATCCTTTATTTTTTGAGTTGAGAGGAGAAATTGGTGAGAAAACCTGTCAAGTTGTGTTTGCATATTTTGACTGTTTCCTGCAGGGGAACACCAGCCATGAGTGACAAATCTTGGTACAGTGTTCAAGTTAAAGGTAAAAAGTCACCTAACAGTAGAAAGTAATCCTGGGCAGCTTGCAGAACAGTGATGACGTTTTTCACACAACCAAACTCTTAAAAAAATCAAATGACCATATTCTTCCTGAATCAGAATTTCTGTATGATCTCTCTGGCAACACAAACTGCCGGAAATTGGATACAAAAATTACAAGGCACTGACCCCTGAGTTGTGTCAGCTCTTTAGAAATGAAAACCATGACAAGTACTGTATGTTAGAAAGTCCCTAGGGTAAGAGCCATGCCTTAATAAAGCATATTGCTTCACAGAGAACTTTAAACAATGCGAATTCCATATGCAGGAAATCTCAGAAAGAAAGGCACTGAGAAAAAGACCTTTGCAACAAAAGATTCCAGAAAACATTACATGAAAAATTTTAAATACCTTTTATTACTTTTTATGCCCTTGGAAAATATTCATACAGAAACAAACAAAATGGTGTCTACCAGTTTATAAATAATAATCAAGGCATACATGATTTAGTTCTTTGGAAAAATAATCTGTCTAGACTTCACACGGTCAACCTGTAGATAATAGAAATAAAATAAGATACTTCAAAGAATTCTAGATGAGTAACAGCATTTATCATGGCTTGACATTACTAATTGCCTGATCTTAGGCTTTACTGTGATAACAATGTTTTCAAAACCTTTTCCTGTGATCATTTTGGAAATAAAGTGGGGAATATCATTATAATAATTACTGGTCAAAAAGAGGAATAGAGCAAATCTAAATGAAATAAAATTACATGATATAATATCTTGAACTTTCCCCTCAACTTTCATTTATCTTATTTTCCTTAATTTGAAATTACTATTAGATTAGAGCAAACTTTATGCCAAGGATATATTATTGCCAATAGCCTGAGGGAAATGACAAACTTTCCGTGGTTTGGGACCAAGTAGGAGTTCTTCTGAAGAAATTCAAAGTCCTGATTTTGTAACAGGTTGTTTTTGCAGAATGAATCATCTTTATATTCGGAAATGCACACACCACCACCAACACTAGTGCTAAAATGTCTATTTCAACAAATCATGAATTTGAGGTAATGAACACGAATGAATACATTTATTGTTTGACTGAGAGGAATGTTCTGTGCTACTTAAAGGAAATATTTGCCACTCTATGATGTTTTTCAGGCTTCAGAAGAAGATTATCTAGGACAATCTATTCTATCTGCATATTGTGATACTTTAAAATATTTATTGAGTTTCTTGTTCAAGTACTGCTCTAATTACTAGGTATAATGGGTAAAATAGAATACTTAGGTTTATGATTATAAATAAATGTATTAAATGAAAATATCTGGATACAATATGGAATTACAAAGGCAGAAATATTTAAATGCCAAAATATCATCTAATTATCAATGTAATTTGATAAACATAGACTATCATAAAAGTTCTTTAACTTAGCTCATATTTGTTATTTATACTTCCAAAAAGTTAGTAGTTAAATTTCTATTGTATTCAGTTTATTGAGACATGGAAAGATGCTGATCAATTGTCTTATGTACTAAGATTGTTTATGGAAAGGATCTACAGGATTTCTTCTGGCACATATATTCTTTATATAAATGATGAAGATACCAGTAGTAGCTGAGTGTAATGTGGTAGTGAAGTTTTATTTAGTAGGTAGAATATAGGCTTGTCAACCTGTGTTTTCAAGATGAAGTCACATCACTATTAATTTATCTTTTCACAGATTCATTACTTCAACTTCCTTCAGATGATGGAGGAAATGCAACGATGTGCAAATCTCCCTTTCTAAATTCATGCCTCTGGGGACAACATGAGATTCAGAAACCGGGGAAATCACGGTTTCGGATTCCATCTTGTGTCCAATGTGAGTAACATTCAAAGTGCTCTACTAAGGATGTGCAGCCTTCCTCTTGCCCAAGGCATGACTACTGTGTCAACTTGGTTCTTGGTTCCTTTTTGTAATGGATTGAATAGGATAAACAGCACTTAATGCATTCTGCAAAAGACAAAACTAGGTAAAAGTTTAAGGCTTTTCTTTCATGTTAATTTTCTCCTTTCTTTCTATTCCAGAATGGCATAGTAATGCTTCATATTTCAGAATCTGAATCCAGTTCATTAGGACTGTACCAAAATAGGATTCTACATATCCTCAACAGAACATATTTCAATGAGATTTCAGTGACAGATTTCAATATTATTTAGATATTCTCAAAGATCTTGAACCCACAACAGTGGACATTGCTAACACACATGAAAATACTCTCATGCTTCTAGGGAGCGGGGTGGGCATGAGGTAGAATCTGAAGCCCACAGCATTGAAAAAGAGCAAAATCCAAATCATTTGCCTAATATTTTCATTGCAATCCACCTGCAGAAACGCTGGTTTCATAATAAATTTTGTTAAATAATTTTTTTTTCAAAAGACCTTCAGAGAGGAGTATTCAGTGTATTGATGGGTTGATGATAATTTCCAGAAAAATTATTCAAAACTTGAACATAACTAAGAGAGACTACTGGGTATTCTTTCAGAGAAGTCCAGACTGCTTTATTTTCCATTGACTAGATCTTACTACGATTCTAGTCTTACTATTAGAATATATATATACACTATGTATATAAGCATGCTATATACATTCATAATGCATATACATATATAATGTATATATATATCCCTTGTATATATATATAAATGTGACTTTTTCATAAATTAAGTTTTCTGCTGATGTCACGTCAGCAATTTAGGAAGCTGATTTATATTTAACTTAAAGGAAGTGGAAAAATACTACTTTCCAATGGTATAAAGACACAATATGATAATTAGGGACACTTCATAATAGAATATGGAATATTTGCAAAGATAAGTGACACTAGAGAAGAAAGAGGCTGCCTAATGACAAAAGGTTAATATAAGCATTGAATCAGGAATCATAAGACTATAGTTCTTGACCTTACCCTGCTGGTACTTAAACTACCTAAACAGAAATTATCTTAAGCTCTCCAGGTCTCTATTTCCACTTGAATAAAAAAAGAAAATTTGATGTAGTAGTTTCTTCAGTATGTTCAACGTATGAAGTTTAATGTTTCTATATAAAGTAATGACAAATATACAAGCACTATTGCTACCAAGCTGATAATTCTGGATGAATTCAGATTACACAGTCAAAAAGATTTAGTGTTTATTAATACCATTTTCAAACAGTAAGGAAATACAAAATAATCTTGAAAGGAAAATGTGACATTTCTTTGAACTCTACAATACAAGTTGATATTATTCTATCCTATTCAAGTTAAGTTTTTTTGAAAAATTTATGAGGCCTATTATAGAAATAGAAAATCATCACTACCAGATTGTCTCCTATGTGAAGGGCCACTATTCACATTTGATGAACAGAATGAAACATCTAAGGGCATCAGAAAAAATAGTTAAATTATTAACTTAATGAATTGTAATATTTTGTGGTTGGTAATCTAAAAGAGAAAATTCAATTAACACAAGTTGTGCCCATACTTGTCTGTGGGAGGAAATATCAAAGTAACTATACAGTAGTGAGTTGAAGTTTAGAGAGGAATACAGATTCTGTGAATGTGCTTTATGATAATATAAATAAGTAATGTATTACAAAAGGATGGTGTTGAATAATATCATAAATCAAAAGAAATGTTAAAGGTAACTACAAATAAATGTTTTATTATCATCACCGGGCAAGACATGAAAATAGCAAGGTGCTAACTAAGTCTTGAAACATAACTCAAAGAAATGTTACTCAGATAAATATATACCTATCTATAAGGGCTTACTGTACATTAAAACTGGATTCATTGCTACTGGTAAAAATGAATTTGACCTACCCAATCACATTAAATTCCACAGATACCAAATATATTGGTAAGTTTTGTTTCTTCCCCCTTTCTGCTAGTGGTAAACTTTTCCAAGAGTTTATTGCACAGATGAGAAAAAAATAAAAACAGTCTTCATTAATCCTGTTGTCACTTTTCTCACAAATTTCTTCTTATGTATAGAAAGCAAAAGTGTTGCTATATCATTTGTGGTCGTTATTGAGCTGAAGTTTAGTTTTTATATGTTCCTATTAGAGATTCATGGATCAGCTAAAAATAACAAATAATAAATAAATGAGATACTATTTTAAAAAACATAAATCATTTCTGATTGGTCCTTGCAGGTAACAGGAGAAAAAAAAGATTCTTTAATAGTTGTCATCATCATTTCTAGCCAGTGGAATTGCTGTATGTTGTTGACCCTTCCACCACACCAAGAGGTTAAGTAGAGGTTGCTTCTGGCTATTGGCAGAGTTCATGTCTCACTAATTATGTTGAAGCTGCACTCTGCAGAGATTATGCTGTGTGAAAATGGAGTGGATTGACTCTTTTCCATACTTTTAAAAGAAAACCTATATATTTGGGGAAAAAGAAAAAAGAGCAGAAAATGCCAGCTAAAAATTAAAGCTATTATGAGATAATTTGTCTATAAAGTTTATGAAATTTTGAGTAAATTTCTTGCAGTATGTTAAAAATGAGTGGAGCATCTCTGGTTACAGATAAGAAACTAAATACCCCAAGAATTGAACACCTAATCAGTAATTAATAGCAATGTGATAGGCTGCAGGTGTAACTCAGAATTCTTTTGGCTACACAAGTACTTTGAATCAATGTGAAAATGGTAAGTGTTATCAAGCTTCCCAGAAAACTGACACATCTTCTGATTTATTCAGTGAGTCAGTGATAGTTTCATTCAATAAAATAATAAATATAATACATTTACTGAGAGTTTTTTTTTTTTTTTGAGACGGAGTCTCGCTCTGTCGCCCAGGCCGGACTGCGGACTGCAGTGGCGCAATCTCGGCTCACTGCAAGCTCCGCTTCCCGGGTTCACGCCATTCTCCTGCCTCAGCCTCCCGAGTAGCTGGGACTACAGGCACCCGCCACCGAGCCCGGCTAATTTTTTGTATTTTTAGTAGAGACGGGGGTTTCACCTTGTTAGCCAGGATGGTCTCGATCTCCTGACCTCATGATCCACCCGCCTCGGCCTCTCAAAGTGCTGGGATTACAGGCGTGAGCCACCGCGCCTGGCCTACTGAGAGTATTTTAAAGATCAGTTATTGTATTAGGATTTGCAGATACAAAGTAAATAACTCACAGCCCTACCCTCAGTTTTTAGTTTTGCAAAATATAAGCTGTTCTATTTGCATATGATATTTTTCTTAATTCATTCAATTAGATTGCATCATCTTCATATATTTAAATCCACAAGTTCATCTTTCTGAGAAAATTAGGAAAAACATTTTTCTTATAATTGGTGACTAAAAATTATCTTTCTTATCTAAAATATTATCTTGTTTGTGTCTTCTTAGCTTAATAAAAGTCAATATAAGTGAATATTTTCTACACTATTGGACAATACTAATTAAGTATTAATTACCATAGTGAGTTATAAATTGCATTTATATATTTGTTTAATGAAGTGTCTGCTATATATGTCAACAAGAACAAAGGAAAATTAAGGAGTGTAATATCCAGAGTAACTGGAAGTTTAAAGAGATATAAATTAAGGGAAACATCCCTTATAAAAAAAAGTAGTAGTAAAGTACATATGCTAATATGCTTTTTATTAATTTTTTGAAAGCATGGATTAAAGGAGAACATAAAATGAATTAAAACGTGATTATATTTTTGATGTTAGTGAATAGGCCATACAGCCAAATATAGCACTTGGGCTCACACAGGTGAAAAATACTCAAATCAAGATTCCTACCAATAAAAGCCTGCCTTTGCCTGTGTAGGTAAAAGTAAATTGAAATTTGCCATGTTACTAGAGATCCGATGGAACATCCATTGACTGATACCGATCTTGAGGTCCAACTACTCGTTAGCACTCCAGGAAATTGATTGAATTCAGACTCTTCAGTCTTAAACTTGTCTTTTAGACCCTTGTCATTAGTCTCTTCTGGTCAGTTTAATAGAACATGAGTCCAAGATAAGAGGTTCACTGAATACCGTGGTTGGTAATACTGTCTTGTGTCTCTCAATTCTATTGTTCCCCACTCCCCCAGTCAACTTTAATGCTATCTTGGAGATTAATTTTCATAATATAGCAAATGAAATAGACAACATAGAATAATGCAGAAAGAATTTCTCAAAATGAATATTAAAACACATGGGGACATTTTATTGTTTAAACTGGAATGAGAATTTATTTGAAATAAAGCATATTAATGTTAAATTACGTATATAAAACCCACTGTTCTCCATTTTTGAGAAAATATTCTAATTTTACATTAGTCACTCTTTAATTATTTTTAAAGAATTAAACTAGAAAAACAGTGCACCAGAGTCCCTAACCTTTGATATAATATCTAAAATACATTAAGCTTTAACATTTGTTCTTTTAATTAACTAATATCATTGGGCAAATAGGCCGAAAATTTTCTATGTGTATCTAGTAATACTTATACCTCAGTTAACAAAACACAAAAGGAAGAAATAATTGCGTGAAAGAAATCAATACTAAACAAAAGCAGAACTTTAAGTAAAAATTTAGATTATTTTATCATGCAATTGTGTATAATCTCAATTTTCTTTTTAAATACAATGTCAAAAAAGTGAAAAGAAAAATATATTAATGCATTGAAATGTAAGGGAATGATAAGCATTCTAATGTTGCAAATTCATAAAGAGATGACTAAGATTGATCAATTTACTTTTCACGCTAAGATGGTGTTAATATGCATAATGTATCTTTATATATTAGTGTATATCTATCAATCTGTCTATTAATAGATCTGAAAGATAATGGATGCCTGTTTGGATGATAAAGTCATGTGAAGAAAACCTAAGTCTTCTCATCCCTAACAGTGTGCTCACGAGTGTACTGGGGATGCTAAATTTCATCTTTTTTTTTCTACTTAACAAAATGACTTGGAGCTTTTTTTTCCCATAGCTGCTTACAGAAATACATCATATTTTAAATCACTGTAGTATATTTTACAGAAAATGTAATACACAGGCACAACAAAAACGACTTTCCAAAAAGAAGTCTTTCCTTTTTCAGATGACTAGTTAACCTCCCAGATAAATCACTAATGCTCTGTGTGTAAATACACATACACACACACACACACACACACACACACACACACAAATGGGCTTTATAGCAGCACAATATAGTGGAATATTCCACTTGACAATACAATAATTTATTTAACCAAAAGTCTATCCTTACTATTTTAATTCTTTGTATCCATTTGCTCTTACAAAAAAAGAAACACCATAGTATATATCTATATACTATTTTTATATCCGTACCATTTATATTTGTGTACACATTTGCATAGGTGTGAGAATGGTTTTTCAAATAAATTGTAAAGACTACAACAGATAGAGAGAAAAGATATATGAATTTTAAATTGTAATATATATTTCCAAAAGGTCCTCCAAAGAAGCTTTCTCAATTTTGTGGTTGGCAACAATATATGAGAATTGTTTCCCCACACGGTTGCCATAATGATATATTTTCAATATTTAACTTCAACATCAATTTGATGAGAAAAAAATATTTATTTTTTTCATTTCTTTAGTTTTAAGTAAAGCTGAATCTGCATGTTAAATGTGAGTTTTTATTTTACTGTTATCTATGTATTTATAGCTTTGTTAATATTTAATTCAATTACTTGTGCCTTAAAAATTCTTTCACATTAGAATAATTAGTTTTTTGTCTATTATATTACTTTGCTCCAGTATGTCTTTTATCTCCAATGATTTCCCAGTATTTTTCTCAATTTACTTTTCATTTAGACAAAGATACATTTTAATTGCATATTAAAAATTAATTTACTTTTTGGTTAAATTTTTTTCAAGGTAGAATTATCTTTGCTTCTTAGAACATAGAGGCAGTGACAGCATGTTGGAGATTTAGATCTTCATGAATTCTTTTCAGATTTTAGGTTATAGAGTCTTCATTAATTCAACCAGGGAAATAGAAAAACAGAGGAAGTTGCTGCCCTGATTGTACTCACTTTCTTTTTTTTTTTTTAATTACTATACTTTAAATTCTGGGGTACATGTGCAAAACGTGCAGGTTTGTTACATAAGTATACACGTGCCATGGTTGTTTGTTGCACCCATGAACCCGTCACCTACATTAGGTATTTCTTCTAATGCTATCCATCCCCTAGCACCCCCCACCCCCAGACAGGGTCTGTCTGGTGTGTGATGTTCCCCTCCCTGTGTCCATGTGTTCTCATTGTTCAACTCCCACTTATGAGTGAGAACACGCAGTGTTTGGTTTTCTGTTCCTGTGTTAGTTTGCTGAGAATGATGGTTTCCAGCTTCATCCATGTCCCTGCAATGGACATGAACTCATCCTTTTTTTATGGCTGCATGGTATTCTATAATGTATATATGCCACATTTTCTTTATCTAGTCTATCATTGATGGACATTTGGGTTGGTTCCAAGTCTTTGCTATTGCGAATAGTGCCACAATAAACATACATATGCATGTGTCTTTATAGTACAATGATTTATAATCCTTTGGGTATATATCCAGTAATGGCATTGCTGGGTCAAATGGTATTTCTAGTTCTAGATCCTTGAGGAATTGCCACACTGTCTTCCACAATGGTTGAACTAGTTTACACTCCCACCAACAGTGTAAAGGTGTTCCTATTTCTCCACATCCTCTCCAGCATCTGTTGTTTCCTAACTTTTAATGATCGCCATTCTAACTGGCATGAGATGGTATCTCATTGTGATTTTGATTTGCATTTTTCTAATGACCAGTGATGATGAGCTTTTTTTCATATGTTTGTTGGCTACATAAATGTCTTCTTTTGAGAAGTGTCTATTCATCTCCTTCGCCCACTTTTTGATGGGGTTGTTTTTTTTTTTTTTCTTGTAAATTTAAGTTCTTTGTAGATTCTGGATATTAGCTCTTTCTCAGGTGGATAGGTTGCCTGTTCACTCTGATGATAGTTTCTTTTGCTGTGCAGAAGCTCTTTAGTTTAACTAGATCCTATTTGTCAATTTTGGCTTTTGTTGCCATTGCTTTTGGTGTTTTAGACATGAAGTCTTTACCCATGCCTATATACTGAATGGTATTGCCTAGGTTTTCTTCTAGGATTTTTATGGTTTTAGGTCTTATGTTTAGTGTTTAATCCATCTTGAGTTAATTTTTGTATCAGGTGTAAGGAAGGGGTCCAGTTTCAGTTTTCTGCATATGGCTAACCAGTTTTCCCAACACCATTTATAAATTAGCGAATCCTTTCTCCATTGCTTTTTTTTGTCAGGTTTGTCAAAGATCAGATGGTTGCAGATGTATGGTGTTATTTCGGAGGCTTCTGTTCTGTTCCTTGGTCTATATATCTGTTTTGGTACCAGTACCATGCTGTTTTGTTTACTGTATCCTTGTTGTATAGTTTGAAGTCAGGTAGCATGATGCTTCCAGCTTTGTTCTTTTTGCTTAGGGTGGTCTTGGCTATGCGGGCTCTTTTTTTGGTTTCATATGAAGTTTAAAGTAGCTTTTTCTAATTCTGTGAAGAAAGTCAATGATAGCTTAATGGGGATAGCATTGAATCTATAAATTACTTTGGACAGTGTGGCCATTTTTACAATATTGATCCCTCCTATTCATGAGCATGGAATGTTTTTCCATTTATTTATGTTCTCTTTTATTTCCTTGAGCAGTGGTTTGTAGTTCTCCTTGAAGAGGTCCTTCACATTCTTTGTAAGTTGTTTAAAGTCTTAGTTAAATTTTATGGACTAATTGCCTATGATATACATTTTCAATTTCTTTTTTTAGAAATAGTTTATGTACAATCTTTGCAGAACATGTTTGTGTATATTGGGATGAGGTAGATACACCACATATTTTTTTCCAGTTGATTTATTAAAGAATCCTGTGAAACTCTGGTAGTATAAGATTCAGTCTCCTTCAGAATCCTTTCTTACCTTTGTCCATTTTATTTTATTGCCATTGACAACTTTTTGTTCTTACCATGAGTTGGGAACAATAATGTCTTCTGGTGTCATCAATGACACAGTTTCTATTTTGATTTCTCATTCCCATTGTTTTTATTAATTTAAAAGAGGAAATAATGCAGAGAGAATTTTACTTTGGTTTCTCAGTCTGAAGGTTAACAAAGATATTGGTTTTGTTACCTAACTTTTTGTGGATTTGCATACAGGATTACAAAGAAATTTTTCCATCATTTATTTAAAGCAACATTTATTGCTTTGTTATTTAGAGAAAATGTAAAATCTTACTATTTGTGCATTCCAGACCTATTATGATAAGCACCATTAAAGGTAACAGAAATTGTGTGCTGCTTAGAGACCAGTCAGAAAAGAATCCCTATATGCAAGCAAAAGAGAGCAGTCTGGGATGATTGGAGTTCTTTTTATGTAATCACTTTAAATAAGTTTCAGACCAGGAATCTCAACAGGAAATATCTGGAGGAGGTAGAATCTGCATCAAATTGTTCAGTTACCTAAAAGTTCCTTATGAGATAGGCCTCTTTTCAACTGAATAATATTTTAAAATACTTAATGAAATGGAGCATTCTAAATCTGAAGTTGTTTGGAAGAGGATAAGTGAAGTCAGTACCCACATTGAAGGATGTACTTAAAATAGCTAGATTTCCCATAGCAGCGCAGTAGATAATTGACACCTTCTCCCTTCCTTTTTCTCTTTCTTTTTTTTCTAAAGTGTAGATTTGGCAGAACTGCAAGCTAAAACTTGAATTGTGAATACTGTTTATAAAGTGTTCCAAGTCCCTAAAAAATTAAAAACCTCATGGTTTCCAGTTTTAAAATATGATTAATGTCTGTGAGATATATCCACAATATTATCATCACAACATTATAACTTTGAAACAACAATGGAGAAATAATTTAATAAATTATTGTATATTCTTATGGTTGAGTGTTATGGGTCATTACATATACTATTTATCAAGAACTCTTGTTATTACATGGGATAAAGCCACTGATATAATATACAGGAGGAAAAGAGTTGAAAATAACATGTATTGTTTGAACTAGCAATGTAAAATTATACTCACAGATATTTGGAATAAACACTTATACACAAAATATCAACTAAATGAAGACAATGAACTATGAAAAACAATGTTTAATAGAAATTTGGAAAACACACATCAATAACCTGTGAAATAGTTTGGCCTCACCTCTCATATAATTATTCTTTCAACAAACCTACATAAAAATATTTCATAATATCCCCTCTCAAGTCGTCATGACAGGTCCTCTTTTTCTCCTAAATCACTTTCATCTTGAAGGTCTAAGTGTGTTTTTCATTTAAGAGAAGAGGATACAATGACAATTTTTCTTTCTGGAAAAAAAGGATCTGAATAAATAACATTTTTGTAAAAACCACAGAGATATCTACAGGTTTCATAGCACCTTCTCTTAAACAAGTCCCTGATTATTATGTTTTGGGTCATCCCACAAACACCATGTAGCTTGGTGTTTGTCCCTCTCTGCCAGTTCTGCTGAAGATCTCTGCTAACTGTGCATCTTGTCTTGGAGATGTCATTGCCCATGACTGGAATGCCGGTGTCTATGAAGACAGTGATATTGGTGTATTACTCAAGTGAATTATCATTTTGGTTCTGAATTGAGTTGTATTCTACTCAGTGAGACACAAGAAGAACCTCCTTCTTAATTCTGTGCCACATTTTGCAAATACACACATGTACACAAACATAAAGAACATTTATTTTTAAAATATCTACTTTTTACTTTTCTTGGGGGTTCAATACCAGCTTAAAGGATCAAGTGAAGGACCAAAGACCTCCCATATAATTTATTCCTTTCTTGTTCATTTTTCTCTTCTGCTCACCTTCATTACCTACAATAATTCAATATTACCAAATCCTAATTTCCTTCTTCACCTGAACTTACTAAATATATTCTTTCATGCATGCAATAGGAGACCTACCTACTGATAGAACCCTTGAGTGCTGGAGTATATTTGTGCATGCAAGGACACCTATGTGGAAGGAAGTAGTGATGGAGTGATTTTCTATCTAATGCAGGATCAAAATGACGAGACTACCTTGTTATACTACAGGCCATTCTGATAAACCAATGGGAATAGACACAGTAATTGACATCCTAGACTGATGAAGGAAAATCTGTGGGATAGATTGATCATTTGCCTGGAGTAAAAATATATTTACTATGTTATATTACAAGTTATATCTGGGATAGGGATTAAAGCAGGGTGGAAAATATCATTTGTAGGCACCGTTTCAGATTCAAGTTTTACCAAAAAACAAACATCTGTTTGCTTAATCAAGAGACACTAATTAGTTATCATGGATGGATATTAAGGTTGATTTAAAAATTTTCAATGAGTTAAGTAACCTAAAGGATTGTCTGCAGGACTCATTTTGTTAACAATAATTAACACTGTATTGTGCTTTTATGCTTTTAGTTCATTAAATTACCTTTGGGGACTAGGATAAACATAAAATTCACTTATTATTTTATTGGTCTCAACATAGCTGGCAAAAAAAAAAAACCTAGATGTGTCTCTGAGACATGGCATTTAAGACTTCATCTTAAAAATTCTTACCTGTAAGATTATAAATCATTCTACTATAAAGACACATGCACACTTCTGTTTATTGCAGCACTGTTCACAATAGCAAAGACTTGGAACCAACTCAAATGCCCATCAATGATAGACTAGATAAAGAAAATGTGGCACATATACACCATCGAATACTACGCAGCCATAAAAAAGGATGAGTTCATGTCCATTGCACAAACATAGATGAAGCTGGAAACCGTCATTCTCAGCAAACTAACACAGGAACAGAAAACCAAATACCACATGTTCTCACTCATAAGTGGGAGTTGAACAATGAGAACACATGGACACAGGGAGGGGAACATCACATACCAGGGCCTGTCAGGGGTTGGGAGCTAGGGTAGGGATAACATTAGGAGAAATACCTAATGTAGGTGACGGGTTGATGGGTGCAGCAAACCACCACGGCACGTGTATACCTATGTAACAAACCTGCACGTTCTGCACAGGTACCCCAGAACTTAAAGTATAATAAAGAAAAAAATTATTCCATGTTCAAAAGCACCTTTTTTTCTTTCAGTTTTTATAGAAGTCTGACACAAACATCCGTGCTTTCTTTTTTACTGCCTGGAGAAGGCAAATACCATTGACAAAATCCTTGCCTATTTACACTTACTCTCATGTGTTATTTTCATTATTGCTTTCAAGGTGAACCTGATCAAGAGATTAATAAGTCCTTGTGAATATGTGAAAGAACAATTGTAATCGTTTTCCTCCCAGGAAAGGAGTCCCTCAATTCAAGTATGATTTACTTTCTGTTTATGGCAATAGCTGTAGGAATGCATTGTACAGGTATTAACATGCATTAAGGCATAAATCACAGAAATACAGGGATAGAGAGAGAGAAAGGAAAGGTTGCTATTTTAGGCAAACAAGGGAGCTTTGTATGCTGGTTGTGAAACCTGCCCTGTCAGGATTAGCAGAGCTAATTCTGTCAAGGCTCAGTGGAGTTTGACACGACTGCATTCACAAGAAAGCTGCAAAGGTCGTATTATGCACTGTGTACCTTTGGGGAGCTTAACAGAACCAATTTGGACCAATTCTGTCAAAAGAACATCTAAGTAACCTAGAAGAATAAGCCTTTGAAAAGAAGTTTATGAGGCTTGGGAACGGGAAGCAGGAGAGGGCTATATGTCAAACTATTTTTCTCCCTGAGTCAAAATTGGATATCACTACTTTTGAAAAGCTTTGCCACTCACAAGAAAAGAATGCTAGACAGAAGCATGAACGTAGAGATAGAAAAAAAAAAAAAAAAAAAAGCCATCAGGGCTTTTAGAGTGGTTTTCGCCAAATTTACAACTGAAACTTTCCAGCTTTTCTGAGGCCCAGGGAATTACTGGGCTCTATAGGAATAAAGGGAGAACATTTCTGCTCACTAATTTAGAAATCTATTGTTTGCAAGAGAAGAGTAACCTCAGCCTCTGATGACTGCAGTCAGAATGGCCTGCACCAGAGATGAAATAAAACTCATGGAAATAAACATAGACATGATTCTTACCCAGAAATATAGATAATTTCAACAGCTGATCATGGTATAAGTTATTTTTCTACTCTACCCTTGAATGAATAGGATATAAAAATAAGCTTTTCTTAGCCAGTGTGCTAACTTTTCCAATGAGATAAATGAGGTTTACTAAGTTATTGCAAGTAGCAATAAATTATAACATTTGTTTAAAACTCTATTGAGCAAAGCTTCCTGATGTTATTGAAGAGCAAAGCTTTGAAGAGCAAAGCTTCCTGATGTTACAATATCAGACATAATTAAGAGGGCATGGATAGTCACTGTCTTTCTCCTCCTGCTGGAATCAATACAAGTATATCTTTTTCTTCTTAATAGCAACAAATTCCGATTTTATATTTTTGGTGACTTGGCAACAATTTGGATTCTGAAGAGACTGGAAATAAATTTGTAAGTGTCTTGTTTCTCAACATAGGATTATCTACTTTGACATGGGATAAAAAAATAACCGTTTGAATGATTAAACACATTCATTTGGCATAGTAACTGGAAAAAATTACTCTTTAAATTTTGGCACTAAGAGCCTCTTGTTCATTTAAAATCTATGCTGAATTATGAAGTGTTTTTGATCAGCTCTTTGTTATACCAGGCGTAATAAGTACTAGTCTTTCTAGTGATGTTATATTAAAGAATTCCATGGACCAACATACTGTCGAAGATGTCACTATTGTGTCTTTGGTATTACTTGCCTCTGGATAAAATGTGATTCTCTGTGTTCTGCTCTTTTCTGTCTTTGGCTCATGTAGCAGCTGGTTTTGCTTTCTCTTCATTAAGTTTTCTAAGCATCAACACGTTCATGGTACTTCTCATTTTCAAGTTAGTTATCATTCTTGTATGGCCTTTCATTAACTTTTGGAAGCTTGTGAGTTGTTGTTTTTTTATTTTATTTTATTTTATTTTTCAGATGGAGTCTCGCTCTTTCACCCCAGCTGGAGTGCAGTGACACGATCTCGGTTCACTGCAAGCTCCGCCGCCCAGGTTCACGCCATTCTCCTGCCTCAGCCTCCCGAGTAGCAGGGACTACAGGAGCCCGCTACCATGCCCGGCTAATTTTTTGTATTTTTAGTAGAGACGTGTTTCACCGTGTTAGCCAGGATGGTCTCGATCTCCTGACCTCGTGATCCGCCTGCCTTGGCCTCCCAAAGTGCTGAGATTACAGGCGTGAGACACCGCGCCCGGCACTTGTGAGTTCTAATAATTCCAGCATACAAGGCACACTTTTCTCGCAGTCTGTGATCTATTTGCTATTACCGGATGGAAAGATGCCAGGGGCTTTTAGTTCTGTAGGTGGCCAGCAAGAATTAAGTTTTTCTTTCTCCTCCCTTCAGAAATCTATGTAAAAATAAGTTCAAATTATACAAAGCACAATTATTCCTACATTTCCAAGTTTCTTTTTACAAAACACTCAGTTAATCAGAATGATGAAATCACACCACTTCATCTACACTTTAAACTTAACCGGCAAAATTATGTGACTTGACTTAAAATTTTAATGGCAGAAATCTTCCTTAGTGAAGTTCGTTGGTCTCTTGAAAAGAGTCATTCTAATGATAAAAAGAAAAGGATGACTTGAGTGACTGAATATAAAGTGATATGCTAAATAATAATTTAAGAGTGATAACAGGGATATCCTAATGGAAACTGTTGGAACATAGTGGCCAACAAAACATGCTGGCTATTCTATTAAGGTTATAATTGATTTTGGATGTGCTGTGTTTAGCTGGGTTTTAATTCAGACTCTTCAGCTTGCTATATGGGTTGCATTAGGCACATTTCTTATCCTTACTAAGTTTCATCTTCTCCTCTATAAACTAGGATTAACAGTACTGTCCACCCCAAAAGTTGTTAGTTGTCAATTAGTGATAAAAAACATGATCCACACAAAATGGACACAACTGAAAAAGTCACTCAGGAACTCATCAGCAACTGGATACATATATCAGAACTCATCTATTTCCTCTCAGAAAAATGCGTAGATTGATGAGTGTCACTAACTACTTAAATAACTACTCTGATGATAATATCCACAGATAATCTCTTCTATTGGTGCTTCTCAACTTTAAATCACTTTGGGAGCTTTATACAAATCATCATACCGAGGTACGATCCATCCTGAGAAATTCCGACTGATCTGGGTCATAACCCACATAATTTAAATGTCTCCTAAATCTGAGAATATTAAAATCTTTGTACATAGACTTATTCTCCTGGTCCTATTATATAAAAATAATTATTAATTTTAAAAAGCATGTAACCTACTAAATGAATCAAACCAAAGTGTCTAAAGCTGCATCTTAGTTCTGTGTGATTAAAACTGATGGCATATGCTCTTTTGAAACCTCATGGGAACAATAATATAAGGCTTGTTTTGTAATAAAAAACAAGTCTTATGCAACTGATAAGCATATGAAAAAAAGATATACATTACTGATCATTAGAGAAACGCAAATCAAAACCGTAATGAGATACCATCTCACATCAGTCAGGATGGCTATTATTAGAAAGGCAAAAAATATGATGTTGGGAAGGTTGTGGAGAGAAACGAATGCTATACACTGTTGATGGGAGTGTAAATTAGTTCAACCATTGTTGAAGACAGTGTGGCAATTCCTCAAAGACTGAAAGAGAGAAATACCATTCGACCCAGCAATCCCATTACTGGGATATACAGGAATATATATTGTTATATTATAAAGACACATGCACACGTATTTTCATTGGAGCTCTAACCACAAACGTGTGTTCATTGCAGCTCTAATCACAATAGTAAAGATGTGAAATCAACCCAAATGCCCATCAAAGATAGACTAGGTAAAGAAAATGTGGTACATGTATGTACACCATGGAACACTATGCAGCCATAAGAAAGAATGAGATTTTGTTCTTTGCAAGGACATGGATGGAGCTGGAAGCCATTACCTTTAGCAAACTAATGCAGGAATAGAAAACCAAAACCACATATTCTCACTTATAAGTGGGAGCTAAATGATGAGAACATGTGGACACGTAGAAGAGAACAACACACACTGGAGCCTATCAGAAGGTGAAAGGTGGGAGGAGGGAGAGGATCAGGAAAAACAATTAATGGGTATTAGGCTCAATACCTGGGTGATGAAATAATCTGTACAACAAACCCCCATGAAACATAAACATGTTTGTTACATATTTACCTATGTAACAAGCTTACATATCCTGTACATGTACCCCTCAACTTAAAAGAAAGTTTAAAAAGAACTTTTATGCTTTTTTTAAAAAAAAATGTTTGTTTGTTTCTTTATAAGTTTAGTGGGAATGAAACATGAGACAAAAATGCTGCTTTCCTGTTGCCTTTCAGATTGCTGGAAGTCTGTCCTTCATACCTGAGGAAAGTTATGTGAAGAGCCTTTTGAGATAAAAAGAGGAAACAGAAGACTTGAGCAATACTATAAATCAACAAGATTTAACTTATAAAGAGCATTCCACCCAACAACAGCAGAATACATACTTTCCCAATGTATATTAAACATTCTTCAGGATAGGACACATGAAGATTATAAAACAAGTCTCAACAAAATTTTATAGTTTGAAACCATAAGAAGTGTCTTCTCTAACCCCAAGAAATAAAGCTAGAAATGAACAACAGAAGGAAAACTGGAAAATTCTTAAATATTCAGAAATTAAACAACACAGTTTAAACAACTAGTGGGTGAAATAACAAATCGCAAAAGAAACTAGAAAATGTTTAGAGATAAAAAACCTCAAAACAAACCAGATTTATGGGATGTAGGATATGTGGTACTCAGAGAAATATTTATGGCTGTAAATGCCTATATTAAAAAGAAGATCTCAATTAAATAACTTAACCTGCACCTTGAATAAATAGTTTTTAAAAAAGGGCAAAGTAAACTCAAGGCTAGCAGGACAGAAATAATCACAATTAGAGTGAAGATGTTAAGACATAAAACAGAAAATACAAGAAAAAGAAAGAGATTTAAGAAAAAAAATATTTATTTGACAAAATCAACAAGATTCACAAATCTTTTAGCTAAAGTGACTAAAAAAAGGGGAGAGGGAGAGAAGACTCAAACTGTTCAAATCATAAAGTGGAGACAATACTACCGACCATACAGAAATAAGAAAAAAATAAGAGATTATTATGAGAGATTTTATACCAAAAGATAGGCAACATAGATGAAATGGTCAAATTCTTAGAAACATGAAATATGTCATTATTAACTCAAGAAGAAATAGGAAATCTCAAAAGAACTATAACAAATAAAGAGATTAAGTCAGTGAATTTAAAACTTTAACAAAGAAAAACCCAGGACCAGATGGTTTCATTGGTGAATTATACCAAACAAATACTTCCAAAAAACCAAATAGGAAAGGATACTTCCTAACTCATTCCTAACAGTTATAAGCCAGTATTACTTTGATTCCAAAGCCAAGGAAATTACAAGAAAAGAAAACAAAAGGCCTACATTGTAGAAGAATATAGGTATAAAAATCCTCAGCAAAGGACTAGCAAACTGAATCTATCAGCATATTAGATTATACACTATGACCAAGTGGGATTTATTCCAGAAATGCAACAGAGGCCAAATAAATACAAATCAATAAATGTGATACATCATATTAATAGAATAAAGGGGAAAACACATGGTCACCTCAACTGATGTAAAAAAATATGTTTGACATGTTTTCATGGAAAAACACTCAACAAACAAAGAACACAGGGAATTTCCAGAACCTGATAAAGGGAATGTATAAAAAAACCCACAACTAACATAATACTCAAAGGTTCAACTTGGAATGATTTCCCCTAAGATGATGAATAAGACAAAGATGTCCATCCTCTCCACATATATTCATCATTTTCCCGGAATTTCATAGAATTTACTGGCTATAGTAAGCAGACTAGAAAAAGAAAGGGCATCCAATCTGGAATAGATGTGAAATTATCTCTGTTCACAAATATAACATGATAGTATATGTAGAAAATCCTAAATAATCCACAAAAATCTAACAGAGCAAATAAATATTACATGGCCTAGTTGTGAATATCAATTACACAGTAACAATACTGTAAATACCAAACGCTGATCTAGCGGCAATTATACAATTAAAACACAATGGCAAGGATAAGGATTTCAGAATTGGGATACCTGAACTGGGGAGAAGAACAAGAGATAAATTCTTATGTTCTATAACAAGAAATCCATAAATAATGCCTAAAACTTGAAAAGAAAAAAAAATAGCCCTACAAACATGGTATTTAGAGTCCTGTTACTGAATATCAAAAAAAATGAGCTGAGAGAATTGTGAATATTCTTACTGGGAAAGCAGCAAGGCAGGGTCAAGATGGGTGCTAGGGAGTGCTCTTGATCTTCAAGTTCATAAGAATAATAGACTCCTTAAATTATGCACATGTAATAATTCAATTAAAAACAACATGAAAAATAATATGATAAGACAAATATACAAGGGCCAGAGCACTGTCACAGGAAAAAAAGAATGGGGCAAAATAGTTACATGAAAACAGAACAGATCATTGATTGCATTTTGATCATGAATAATGACATTCTTCAGAGCAAGTATCAAGAAACACGAACCTCAAGGCTTATCTTTTTAAGAAAATAATTGTGATTTTCAATGGCATATACTTTTAAAAACATACAGCTATTTTATCTAGAAGTGAAACAAAAATAAGTGTGGCAGAAAAAAGAAATGCCTGAAATGGAACAAAATGATGAGAAAAATACCTATCGAGCTTTCATAAAGAGAGATGGACTGCAGTATGCTTGTCACTTTCTATACTTGTGACAAATTGTTAAAAGTCATAGGATATTTGGGGGAGGGGAATCAAACTGAATTATATATAATTAGATTTTTATACATGCCAGGTTAGATGCATTAAAATATTAACATTCTCATATATGTATGTATGTGTCATATACAATTCTGAGGAAAGGTACCACCTGCACTATAATCCTGAAGGAAATCATCATCTTCTCTTGCCATAGTATTTCAATCACTTGCTAACAAGGGTCACCATTGTAAACCTTGCCCAGCTTTAATTTAATCTCAAGAGTGCATAGAAGACAAATCACCAGCCTGTGCTAAAATATAACCTTTGGGCCTCCACTGATGACCCCATATATGATTGCAGCCCTTCTCTATTTATTCGACTCTTTTGTTCCTTTCCTGTTTTATTTCTCTGCTACACACTCATCATTAATACAAACATAAAACAAGTGACTAATTAAGACATAATATTTGTAATATCAAATTATTTTAGTTAATAATGTCAATGGTATTGTAATTTTCTATTGTTTTGACTTTTGAAATAAATTATTTCATGGTTTAGCACTAAATTATTCATTTAGTTTTTCCACTGAATTCTTCCCTAATATAAATCATTCAATTAAGAATTATTCTAGTTGACCTTGTGTGTTTCAATATGTTGGGAATTAAATATAGACATTTATGTAAATTGTTATTAAAATGAAAGAATGAGTCATAATGTAAAAGCATTGCTATGACACTTTATTTTCATTTTCAAAGAATTCAGTAGTGATGTAGCACAGAGCAATTCTAAAAATCATCCAAAAAATGATACAGGCAACCATATTATCCATCCAAAAATAATTCATGTTAGCACTTCCAAAATGTTTCAGATTGGATTGCACTAATATCTCATGAGATCTCTGTATTTTAGTTTTTTCATCTCTAAAACATGAGCATTGAAAATCATTTTTAGTTTTACTTTGAACTTAGCCTGTTTCCAACTCTAATATTTTATATTCCAGTAAATCAATTGCACTTTATTTCATGAAATTACCAAAATTCCAAGTGCCATTCTCCCCTTTGTCTACTTTCCAGCTACACCAGATTTCTTTTCTCATTATATTCTCCTCCCTCTCTCTTTTCCCATTGTCTCTGTGGAGGAGACATATTTTCCCTTCCATTGTTCTTTTTGGAAACCCTCTAAGTTAGACTCATTGCAAGAACCCCTCCTCCCGAATGCCCACCTAACTTCCAATAAAACTTACATTCTTTTGCCTCTCTTTTTACTGGGCTAAGCTTGACAAATTCAAAGAAAATGGCTGTTTTGCCTTTCCTAATCCTCTACACAGTAGTACACAAATACCATATGTTCTCACTTGTAAGTGGGAGTTAAATAATATGTACACGTGGAAATAGAGTGTGGAATAATAGACATCAATGACTGAGAGCGTTGGGAGGGTGGAGGGAGGGTCAAGGATGATAAATTATTTGATAGATACAATGTACACTATTCAAGTGACATTGATAACTACAAGCCCAGACTTTACCACTATGCAATATATCGATGTAAGAAAACTGCACTTGTATTTCTTAAATTTATACAAACAAAAAATAGTTTTCACATCTGTGAACAAAAAATATAAATACTTAAAAAATTATTACACTAAAATACAAACATGGAAAAGTCAATATCAATTATAGGTTTTAAAAATAGACACATTAATAACCCATTGGGTGAAATACAAGCAGCCATTGCATTTAAAATTAAAAATATTGTGTAGCAATAAAGAGTATTTATTATTAAGTAACAATGGAGGAAACATTATATTGATATAATCTGATCATATAGGTGTCCAATTAAAAATTTTTAAAATCACCTGATTGCCCAAAAAGTAAAAGCTAAATTTCTGCTCCCAGGCTGTCTTTCCAGCATCATTTTTCACCACATGAACACTGCACCTATGCTCTTCCAGACTAACACCGGGCACCTATACAGGTTAACATTTCTCTACTTTTGAATGTCTTGTTTTCTCTTGTTCTGATGTCATTCCCAAATTTCAGTTTCTACATATCTATTGTCTAACTTTTAAGATTAAAGAGTTTCAGTTTCTGAGTTGTTTTACTTAAGATAATTGCCTACAGTTCCATCCATGTTGCTATAAAATACAAGATTTTGACATTGACAAGAGGTAGCCAAATGACTAGGCAGATAAGGGTGGGTCCTTGGTGAAATCCCACCTTCAAGCCCAAAAACAGCCTGAAGGCTGACAGACCAGACTTCTGGTCCTAGATGAAACCTGCAACCCAGACAGAGAACTTCTATTCCTGTTTGCCCACCCTTTCCGGATTGATACTTTCTGAAAAAAACCTTTTGAACAATCAAATGTTGCCTTTTCCAATACTACCTACAGCCTGCCCCTCCCCCATTCTGAGCTCATAAAAGCCCAAGACTCAGCCACATTGAGGGGACTCTCCCACTTTCGGGTAGGGGGACCATTTCCACATCCCATCTCTGCTAAAAGCTGTTTTATCACTCAATAAAATTCCCCACTTTGCTCACTTTTTGATTTTCAGCACATCTTTATACTTCTTGGGCATGGAACAAGAACTCGGGAACCCGTGAGCAAGCCAGACTCAGCCCATGATGGCCAAGAGTGCAGGCCGTCTCCTGCAGCATGCAGTGTGGCTGAGTAAGTCCCACATGGGGGACACTGGCCGGAGGTCTCCAGCTTGCAAAGTGACCAAGAAAAAATCCTGTGTCATTTTAGGGTCTTGCCCAGGATACCTGAGGGGGGCACTTTTTCCTGACACTTCTTGCCCTCAGATTTTCTATTGAAGGCAGATGAAGCACCAAATCTCTGACTAGCCAATTGAAAAAGAATGCACAACTATAGAGGATGGGGTGTGACCCTGCTATCTCTCTCTCTCTCTCTCTCTCTCTCTCTCTCTCTCTGTCTCTCTCTGATGAAAGGAATGTTGGCTTTGTTTCCCTTCATGGAGGTCTAGCCATTGTGTGAGACCAGAATAAGACCCTGGGGCAACTGATGGGATCTGGCTGAGGCCACACGGTGGTGTTGCCAGAAGGTCCCTGAACTGGTTCCATCCCCACCGCCCGTTAGGGCATCAACCAAGACCCTCAGTCTTTTCTATGACATGTTTCCTTACGTCTTTCATGGTTTGAAATGGCTCCTATCTCTTTTTTTAATAATGTTAAAGGTATTGCTGCAAACAGCAGAGATATTTCTGGGTAGAATGAGCATTCAGCCCAACCATCAGATAATGCAATTCAGAACAATACGGTTTCCATCTGGCATGGAGGGTACAGTGATTAAGAGTTTTTCTCCTGTTGGAGGAACCCATTTGCATAAAGTAAGAGGAGGCATTTTCCCTCAGGCATTTTCCCTGCCCTGCACTTAAGCTGTTTTATTTTCTTTTCTCCACATGTGAGGAGTTAACATAGCCATGTGAACACAGGGAGCTTTTCTATGCAAGAGTTTGTTTTTGTTTTTTTTTAATTTCCTTTTGAAAGGCATCTTATTAGGCCAGGACCCCCAGTTCACCAGTTCACTAGACTCCCTAACTTAATGAGTCCTTGCACCTTTCTGAGGTACCCCTTTGTCCCAAACTCAATTCCAAGCTTTGGATTGAAGCCTTAGGAAAAAAAAAAAGAAAAGAAAAAACTGGATCTGAGGGATCCAGAGACAGATGACCATGGAAGTCAAGGGGCACAGTGCAGATGAGCATGACTAATTCTTGCTGATTACCACCCCAACACCATTTCATGGACAGAGGTCATGCTAGCATCCATGGCACACATGAGACTACCAATAGCGGGGAGGATAGGCAATGTATAGGTGAATGGGGATAATTCCTACCCTCTAGACCCTCTAGACCCTCTAGACCTCCCTGTTTCACATGGATGAAGGCCACATTGACACCCATTGACAGCAACCAGCCGAGGTCACCAGGCCTCTGGGATATAAAGAGGGAAGAAAGAAAGAAAATGCATTTTCTTTCTCTCTCGTGTACCCCAGATATTCACTGGGAAGAGAAAGAAGCTAAGGGATGCCTTTTTCCCCTCTTTCCAGATGGGTAACCAGCCATCTTCAGTCTGTAATTCTCTTGAAGGCATCTTGAATCACTGGAACTCCTTTGAAAAAAAAACACCTTCTTTTTCTGTTTCCTCCTCTATCCTCTTTTCATAAATGGGTAATTGTATCCCCATACCACAGCACGCTTCCCTCGGATGCATCCTCAGAACTGGGAGAAGTTTAATTTCCCCAAACATTAAATTGTTTGGCTTAAAAATGAACTGGGAAGAAATTTTAGATCTAAATGAGCAAATTTATTGAGAAGGGACAACTTTTACACTATGCAAATAACCTATTTGTCTGCTTCCCCTTCACAAGACTCCAGGGTAGATAGGGCTCCATAGCTCAGGGGAGGGAAACCCATAAGTCTGACATGCTGGCAAAAAGGTAAATGTGTTTTGTTTGTTTGTTTGTTTTGTTTTTGTTTTGAGTTTTTACCAGTCAAGACTCCTGCCCTCCCTCTCTCTGTGCAACCTGGTAAAATAAATTATAAAAATCAGTTTGTATCCTCTGTAACGTTTTGATTAATGGAAACAATGGATTTGTGAGGCTAGTCTGAAGCTGTAGTGAATCTGTTGTACTTTTGCTAAGAATCTATCCTTCTGTATCCTTCTAACAGAAAGAGGAATACCTTAGGATAAAATGTGGTTCTAGGACTGCATAAGCCTGCTGGTCAAGCCAGTCCAGCAAACTAGTCAGTAACGAACTTTGCTGCAGGTGTCCATCTTGTTTCATGTTCTTGGGAGCTTAACCGTGTAACATGGTAGTACTTTGTTTTGGTCTCTGCCATTTTACAATGGCAGTCAGGGTTCAAGCCTGGCTTAGGGGATGAGTACTTTCTGGTTAATATCATTTGCTGGTTCTCTTTCCCTCCATGAACAACTTCTAGCTTCTGTTCTTAAATCCTTCTTTTTCTGAGCTACCTATAAAGATTCCAGGTTTTGTAAAAACTGCTTACCACATCTTCGGAAATACCTCACACACTTGTGGTTAAGTCATAACCTTAGTTGAGGATTGTTGGTTTCCCCTGTAAGGTTACTTTTGATCCAGTTCAAAAGCCAGAAATATCAGCCACTTGGCATGGCTAAGGTCAGGTAGTAAGGGATTTAAAAGGATTTTCTTAAAGAGCAGTATGGTTAAAGTCAGCACAATTAAAAGTGGATATCTAAGTTATAGGTATATTTAAAAGGCCTTTATGTTTTTCTTTTCTTGGACCTTGTTTTGCTGGAAAGTTTTTTTTTTTTTTTTCAGTCAACTTAATTACTTCTCTTCATTTTCACTCGACACTCTTGATGCATGTGTGAGAGGTCCTAAGATAACTTCCGAGAGCATGGGACTCCTTAAGAAAAACAGAAGATGCCACAGAGCTCGTTTTGGGAAAAATCCTCTGTTTTCCTTATGGAAACCCAGGAATTAAAAGCAGATAGATCCCTCTCAGATTTTGTTTGTGTCTTCCAGCTATATCTGCTTATCAGGCCCTAGAAACTGCATGTTTGGATAACCTGTTTTGTGAAGGTCTCCACCATGAGGCCAGTAATGCAGGTAGATGATTGCCAAATGAGAAAATCTTACAACTACTGAATCTTCTTCTGTCTGTGTAGTTTTATATATATTATGTGTGTGATGTTTACATAAAAAAGATCTCTAATTAGTTGGCTTAGAGAAAAATAATCACTTAGATTAAATATTGTAGAAGAAAAAATAAAAGCTGTAATGCCTTGCAGTTCATGTGACTTTAATCTTTGAGAAATAAAAACAGTTTTAAAGATTATTGGTAAAATACAAATGTCTTCAAAATTTAAATCTGTAGTCTAAATTATGCATCTCAAATACTACGTTCTCTAAATGCTTTAAGGTTGCAAACTGCTTCTTTGGCTTTTGAAAATTGTTCAACCCACCTGCTTTACAGTTTGGTAAGGCCTGGGGACATAGAGAATTAACCATGCCCCTAACTGTGCTAGAAGGAGTCAAATCTTAGCTACACATAGGACATAACTACAATAACTTATCAGGTTTTACAATAAAAATGAAAATCGCTAAGAGTTACCATTATAACATGTAATTGAATCTGAAGAAGTTGAGTTGCATGAAAATAGATTTACAAGAAAGTTGTGTAAGGAAAGTGAGATGTGTTTTTACTAAAACATTATAAGAAGGCATGGGAATAAAATTTTGCCTAATTTAGAAGGTTAAAGGATTGTTTTAAATTGGATAAGATAAAGCTGAAGGTTTAAGCAAGTTGTGGAAGCTTTGTCAAATTTAATCTTGCAAAAGAAATTCTGTGTGTGAACATACTGACTAAATTCAAAAGGGTGTTATATGGTTTTTCCATAAACTGAGCATTGAAATAAAAGCACTACAAGTTTTTCTTACGGCACTGATCTGTTCTTTAACAAAAATTTCTGAAGTTTATAAAAGATTACAGGAATCTCACCCCATAGTCAAACTGGTCAGATTGGATAGAATTATCTATAAGGTTTCATTTAAAAAATTGGGGTTGACATTAACAGTAGACTAACGCAAGGGTGAAATTTGGCTTTTCCTCCCTAAAACAAGATTTCCACGTAATAATAAAGGACAATGAAATATTTTTGTTTGCTTTTTATATAAACTACTAAAAATGGGTGAAGATGTTTGGAAAGCTAAGTCTTCCCACATAATGGGTAAAGGTTTTTGCCTTTAAAATTTTTTTGAGTCATTATTTTGGCTAAATAAATGACTTATGGTAATCTGGTATTCTATTTCATAATATCAAGTGTTTTAAACCTATAATATATGTAACAGGCTTCCCAAAATCAAACTTCCCCTTCAAAAATGGTCTTTTCTGACCCCCAAATTTTGGATGCTATACAGGGCCCCTGGAACATTCAAAAGAGAGGTGAACAGGATTATTTGACGTGTTTAGTTACATGGGATTGCTAAAACAAAAGTAAAGCTTAATCTTCTTCAGGTTATATTCTAGTGAGTAATATCAATTTATGTTCCCAAACTGTATGGGATTTCTAAAATTTTAATGTCTGAGTATATGCTATCGATCATAATTAAGGTTATCATGTTAAGTTATTGTAAACCACAGAAATAATCAAATTTCTTTGTCAACTTTTATTTTTTTGATGGTAACTACCCTGGACATTTTGTCATTCACAGACAATTATTGCCTTGCATTGATTCTTTTCCAAACATGGTTTATAATCAGCTATAGGACTTTGACAGGTACTTTTAAATGCAGGTGTCTGATATCTTTAAAGATTATGACATTGGAATAAAGGAAAAATGTATAGGACTTATGAAGAGCTGAAATGCCCATAAATATCTAGTAGAACAAGAGTTAACTGAATGGTGTGAACAACAGAAAACTGAAGTAATCTTTTGTAACTCTGCTTAAAACATTGCTGATCCTTTTTTTGTTTTCCAGAGTCAGTGGAACTTTCCTTTTGAGCTTTCTACAGCATTTAACAATTGAGTAATGTATACACCTGTGAACAAAATTTGGAGCATGTTTGTTTCTCTGTGCCTGGTTTATCTAGAATTTGGAAGGTATTTGTGAGTATTCTTAACTTATGGCAATATAGTTATTTGAATCAGTGCAATAAGAATCCATTTTCTTCTGCAACAGGACACATTGGAGACTTGTTGTTTTACCAAGGCTTTGACTGGAAGGGTCTGCTCCCCTTTAAAGAATCAGTCTTGACTTGCAGAGCCAATGAAAGTCCCTTGGGAAAACTGGCTTCATACTTTGGCTACACAGTCATTGTACAGGTTTCTTAACTTGTGGTGAGTAAAGAATGTCACTTTCTTACAGCCCCAGGAACACCATGTTATCTTGGGAATCTCAGAAAGAGAGTAATTTGCCCAACTCATATGTGTTTGGGGGCACAAACCCATGGCTGGGCTTGGTTTTAAAAGGTCTCATCTGAGATTCCTTGTAGAACAGAGTTCCATCAAAGCCAATTTAAAAAGCCTATGTGAAAAATCATTGTTTTTGCTGCACATTATGAGAATGAGCAGGACAAGTATAAGTCTAAAATTTATTTTGCAAACAACACTGTCTAATCATGATTTGTTTTTGACAAAAATGAGAACTGGAGAAAGAATAATTATGTTTCAAAATGTGTACAGTTGTCATTGTTTTTAAGTTAGTTGTTTTTAAGTTTTTGCCTACATTTTAGACTAAACCTACTTATTTCTGTAAACCAACCAGGAATCTCAAGCTGCAGCTCGAAGGAAACAAAAGGGAGGGGTAATGTAAAAATCTAGATCAATATTCTAATTCTGAGCAATTATCCTGCAAAACCTGCCAGGCGATTGAAGTAAATGGGGTGTCCATAACCCAGAGGTTTCTTTTTATGGGAAAATAAAACCAAAGAAACTGACAAAAGCCAAGCCTCATGCACATAATTCTTAGCAGACATAACAGTTATCTGAGCATGTCAGCAGCCCCAGCATTTTAAATCTTTCCTTGCTGCCTTGTTGCATTTTGATACATGTCTTCATGTACCAAACCCAGTTTGTCTCTTCTCACCTTCATGCCATCAAATGCCAAACGGTCATGCAACTGGAGCCTCAAACAATGGCTCCCTTTTACTGGGGACCCTTAGACAGGCCTTTGAGGGAGATCTGACTGCCATTTTTCCAAAGCAGTGCCCCCTGTCAGCAGGAAGCAGTTAAGATTGGTCTTCATCCCTAAACTAATGGCAGTTAGATGTACCTCTTCAGAGGGGGGAAGTAGGACAGGAGGCAGCTAAATGCCTAGGTAGTTAGGAACAGGTTCCTGACAAAACCCCATCTTCAAGCCAAAAAAACGCTTGAAGGCTGGCAGAGCAGACTGCTGGTCACAGATTAAACCTGCAACCCAGAGTGAGAACTTTACTCAATAAACTCCGCAACTTGCTCACTTTTAGATTGTCAGCATATCCTTATTTTTCTTCGGCATGGGACAAGAACTCAGGTGCTGGTGCACAAGCCAGACTCAGCCAAGCTGGGACTAATGGGCTGGCTGTCTCCTGCAGCAGGTAGCATGGCTGAGCGAGGCCTAGGCTGGGTGTCACTGGCCAGAGGTCCCAGGCTTGCAAAGTGATCAGGAAGAAAATCCTGCATCCATTTCATTCTTTTTTATGGGTGAATAATATTACATTTATATAATACCTCAAAAAATGTAAGACGCATGCTGCTTTAAAACTTGCAATTTTTGACCAGTGAAAGCTCAACATGATGTTATAAATTCTGTTATTAGGAGACAGACATATTATCGTATATTACTAATTTAAGAGCAACAATTTGTGTGAGAGCATTTTTGGAAACTTTATTGGCTTGATGACATTCCTTGTGCTATGAGAATTGAGAAATATCATAGAACAGACTCAGAGGGAGAAAAAAATTCAGATAACTGAGTTTACTAGATTTAGCAAAAACAAGAAACTAGACACCCAGTTAAATTTGAATTTCAGATAAATCAAAAATATTTTTTAGTATAAGAATGATCCACTCATTATTCCACATCTTGATGAAAAAACTGTGCCAATGTGTGTAGCCACCTTAAATTTTGACAGAAAGTGATAGATTATTCCCAATTTTGTTGATTTATGATTATAATGTTTTATATGCATTATTTTTAGTTTGCTTTGTAGTCAGTGTATAAGTGATGAATAGGTGAAGGAAAGGTGATTCTTAGGTCAGTTAAACTATTCTGTATGATATAATATTGGTGGATACACCTCATTATTTATAGTGGCTTTTCTCGTGGCTTAATTTATGGTCAGTTTTACGATTATGTTGTATATAGAATAGGCAGTTTAAAATAAAATGTAGTTTTCTTTCATTTTATATTTTAAATATGTATCAACTAGATATATTCATAATTTATGTTAATTTTTCCATCTCTAAATATTTTGTATCCACTTGACCTGTTATAAAACAGAGATAACTAGAAACCTATTGCTTGTATGATATTGCAAGCATCATTCAAGCAATAGCAATATGCATTGCTTTTTCTCTTTGCATTTCTATTGTATTGCTATTTCTCTTTGTATTTCCTGTAATTTTTGTGTTAAAAATGTTTATGCTCTGTTTTGGGTACAGAGATATTAGTTCTTCACTGTGGATTATATAGTATGCCATTGTAAAATTTAATTTTTTGCTTTGTGGATGCTTTACTGTTGATTCTGGACCTGCTTGATATTAAATTCATGACCCTGTTTTCTCATTGTTTTCACTTGCTTGGGATGTCCTTGCCCATTTTTTTAGAAGTTGTCTGAGCTTTTTTGTTAGGAACTCTTATAGAAAATAGTTAATAACTTGTATTTACTTAATCAATTTAAGATTAATTTTTCTTTAAATAGCTATGCTAGTCAAATTTTGTTTGCTGCTAGAATATACATGTTTAGTTTTGTTCTGTCAAAATGTTTTTCTGTTTTCTTTAAAAAATAATTTTCAATCATTTATCCTATGGTTTTGTGTGTGTTTCATAATACATTGAATTAATTAATTTTGCGCTATTTTTCAAAATAGAGAAATGAGCTTAAGGAAAACTTTCTAATTTGGGGAAAAATAAATTTTTCAAACTTAAAGTTGTTCTCTGAAAAAGAAATTCAGTTTCTCGAAAGTTGAATTAAAACATTGTTTTCCTCAGTTATCTTGAATGTCTCTGTTTTTAACAACATTTTACCCAGCCAACACTCACTTCAACTGAAATATTCTCTTTGGTCCTAAATTAGACCTAAGTTAAAGAGAAATAACCATTCACACCTTATCATGGAATTGCAGAGGATTCTTTTGCATCTAAACACCCCACCCAGCATGCTGTTGTACTAAAAATTGTTGTACTAAAATTAAATTACATTTAATTGCTTTTCTTGTTCCAAATTCTTCTCATTGTCCTCAGAATTACTCTGTCCCCTAACCCCAATAAAATATATTCCCTATTTAATAGCTTTTAAGTTTCTTCAGAGACTGTCTACTATGTATGTATCAACTGAAAAAGAAAAACTTTTAGTTCTTTCATATCACCTGGTTTGTTTCAACAAACTAAAGTCATAAATGAAATTCTAGAGATTTTAATATATGTTATAAATATTTATATATGCAAAGAACATCTGGGTTTATTTTCATAAGAAGATGATAGATAAATGCAGCACAGTTGATAATTTTTTTATTTGAAACTATTCATGTAATTAATTCAACTCTTTAGCTTCCCCTTTAATTAACAAATGTAGATACAGACATATATATGGCACACGATAAAAACTGTAACAAAACTTTAAACGTTATATTAAATTTCACAGAGATTGTAATCATTTTAAACTTAGAATTTAATTATTGATTTCAACATTTTATGGTAAGTAGAAATACTAGTTCTCCTGTCCAAATCTCAGTGTACATTTTGATTCTGTCAGCTCTTTGAAAGGTTCCATATTACTTTCAAGATTTATTCTTCTGGGCACAGAAAGGCACTTTTGATAAAAGTTCTTTTAAGGTTATCTTGTTTTCTTTACACTGACAGATATTTGATCACAAAGTCAGCCTTCAAAAATATCATAATCATCTTCATCATTTCCAAAATATATTTTGAATTTTAGGGTTTGTAAAAATAGAATTGTTGATGTGTCTAAAATTTGGACAGAGATTAGAGTTATTATTGTAATTTGTTTTCATAATTGATAATGAAAAGAGTTCCAAACCTATATGTGAAAATTTGAATAACATATTTTACAGGTAAGTGGTATCTGGATTTCAGGTCTACTTTTCCCTTCAACTGTGTGAATACTTCAAGATAAATTTTGAGTCAAATTGTTTAGATGATCACCTTAATATTTCATGTGATTTATATCTGAAAAAGTGGCAATTTTTAATACAAATCAATACAAATCAATAAATCTCCAAGCAAATAAGTAGCAAAACTGGTCCTAACTATAAACTGCAAATAAATAATAGATATGGATCAAATGACTTATGGGAATTTATTATTTGAATAAAATGTCATTTATAAATCAATGTGGAAAAGATGGTTTAATTCAAAAATGTTATCAAACAATCAGATAGACATATGGAACAAAATCATAAATTATAAAATACAAACTTTCTCATATATACACAAAAATGTTGAAAAACTGTAAGAAAAAGTTGAACAACCTACTGGAAATATAGACAAAGTACGTAATCAGGCAAGTCATACAATATGAAACACCAATGGTCAGTAAATATATTTGACACATCAATTGTCAGGAAGTATATTTGTTTGTAGTGAAAACAAATGCAAATTTAAAGTGAGTTATCTTTTTGCCTACCAGATTCTTAGATTAGAATGAGTGATAATGCTCAGTGTAGAAGTGAATGAACAGATGTTTTAATGTACTGGCGATAAGGCATATCCAAAATTTGCACGTATATACAGTATGATGATAGAGTAATCTTACAATTAACACCAAAGAGTTAACTGTGAGAGGTTGAAAACACATACACATACAAATACATGTGTATGCACAAACACATATATATGCATAGATATATATTTCCACACAGTTTTCATAAATATATTGTTTAATATTTGCTAATATCTATATTTCTTAAGATATTTTTCAAGGTTTTTTAAATGAAGAAAGCAGTTTGAAATGTAATACATACATTGTTCTTGCAGTATTGTGTTTACGCTAAAGAATATAGGAGATATTCAATCCAATAGAATGAACTATTTTATAAATTATTAGAATTTGGCTGAATATACTTTTGAACTTAGCTAAATTGTAAAATCTATTTCACAGAGACAGAATGTGTACATAAAAAGAAATTGCTTAAAATGTATGGATTCTTCTTTTTTTTTTGACACAGGGTCCCTCTCTGTCATCCAGGCTGGAGTGAAGTGGTGCAATCTCAGCTCACTGCAACCTCCACCTCTCAGGTTCAAGCAATTCTCATGCCTCAGCTTCTTGAGTAGCTGAGACTACAAGTGCATGCTACCATGCCCGGTTATTTTTTGTATTTTTTGGTAGAGACAGGTTTTCACCATGTTGGCCAGGCTGGTCTCAAACTCCTGACCTCAAGTGGTCTTCCTGCCTTGGCCTCCCAAAGTGCTGGGATTCCAGGTATGAGCCATCTCGCCCAGCCACCACGGCATTTTAAATATTCAATCTCTCTCTATGTATGTATGTTTCCACTTTAGAGAACTGCTCTAAATGCCTTTATAAATACATATAACATATGATATGTGTTCTGATTATTATTTTTAAAGCAAAAAGAAAGAAAAGGTTGTAAAATCAAAACTACAATTTTTTTAAGTTCTACAAGCTACTATATAATTGGCACACCAGATAATATGCTTGAATCATTCAGATGGAAATAATTTGGCATAATTGAGTGCTAGCTATGATAATGTGTTATTGAAACAGCTTGTTTATACTACTGCTAATTATCACCAATATCCATTTTAGAATATTTTCCCAAGAATTGCAGAAAAAGATGAACCTAGAAATAGAGTCCAAAATTTTTAAGAGATTTTACAAGTGGTCTACACCAACTCACAAAAGTCATGAAATACTTGACTTTCTTCATTCCCCAAACTATACACATTTAGTGATGGACAGCCTTCTACTTCCCTAGCAAGGCCGTTTCACTATTGATGGGTCTAGTCCAAGCTCTTACAATCATTCAGTCTATGAAGACTTTATGGATTCATCATCAATAAATTGTTCTCCATATTTGCAACTTTTGTAAGATATGTATTTCACCTCCCCTAGACGATGAATAAAAATGAAATTGCAACCATACATATCTCATTATGAACAACTTTTTAAAGTGGCCTAGAATTCCACTTTATATCCATTCCACATATATAAACTGCTGCCTATTCTTCATCCACCCTGGTCTTTTTGCCCTGTCACCCTGCTGCTGCCTTCCATACAAAATTACTCTGATGACCTTGATTTGCTGGTATGCTTATATACCAATATCAAAGATAGGACATTTTCTCTCCTAATTTTGTGCCACAACCACAAAATTATGATTTCTAACATTTCTGCAAGTTGGGGAGAGTGTAATAGTTATTACATAAGAAATACTTTACATGATATAAAGTAAGAGTGTCAAGCTTGTTTTACCAAAAAAATCTACAGTGTTAACCACAGGGTTACATTGTCTCTTTGGTTGTCGTTCGGGGAAATCACCAAAAATGAAGCTGTGGTCTTATCTCAGAAACTTTAGAAAGTAATCTAGGACTCAACTTTAGCTATAAAAAGATAAACTCGTAGAATTTCTATATTCCATTCATTTACACTTGTTCCTAGATCCTTTTCATTTCTAGGGAAGTATATGAACCTTTCTGAAAGAAGCAACAGGTTTCTTCAAAGAAGATTTAAAGAAGCAGCCCAGAAGATGTACAGATGGCCAATAAGTATATAAAAAAAGTTCGACATCCCTAATCATCAGGGAAATAAAAATCGGTCATTATTCCTACACTTGCCACAATGACTATTATCAAAAAGACAAAAAATAACAAATGCTGGCAATGGATGTGGAGAAATGGGAACTCTTATACATTGCTGGAATGTAAATTAGTATAGCTATTATATAAAACAGTATAGCAGTTCCTCAAAAAATTCAAAATAGAACTACCATATGATCCATCACTTCCACTACTGGGTGTGTATCCAAAGGAAATAAAATCAGTATTTTGAAGAGGTGTCTGCACTACCATGTTTTGTGCAGCACTTATTCACAATAGCCAAGATATGGAATCAATTTAAGTATCTATCATTGGAAAATGAATAAAGAAAACATTATATATATATAATACATTGCGTATATATATACACACGTTGTAATATATATATATACACACACACACAATGAAATACTATTCAGCCATGAAAAAGAATGAAATCCTGCCATTTGCAAAAACATGGATGAAGCCTGAAGACATACTTAGTGAAATAAGCCAAGCACACAAAGACAAATATCACATGATATCGCTCATTTGCAAAACTTTAAAAAGCCAATCTCATAGAAGTAAACAGTAGAATAGTGGTTACCAGAAACTGGAGAGGAAGGATAGATAGGGAATATGGGGAGAGATTGGTCAAGGGGTACAAAATTACACATATATAGGAAGAATTACCCTGATTTTATCATTACACCGTATATACATGTATTGAAACATCACACTGCATCCCATAAATATGTACAATTATTATGTGTGAATTAAAAATAAAATAAAGAATTAGCCTAATTCTCTATTTCAGGTGAGGAAGTAAGTTTTAACAGCTCAGAGAGAGGAATTGTAGGTTGTGCAATTCATCTTAGGGCTGGCGATACTATATCTACTCCATGTATCAAAGTTCATTAAAATGAACAAATTCTATTTTTTGTCTGGGGAGGATATAATCAAGAGTGTGAAAAGTGATTATTATGTCTGATAATCAACTGATGGTGATTTTTGCTTTTTAAATTTTCTTATATATAATTTTTATGGATATGCCACATTTTATTTATTCATGAAAATTCTGTTCTTTAACATCAGTATAGCTGACTTATTCTATTTACCCAATTCTATACATTATCACATAATGTGATTTAGGATTGAGGAGTTCGTAAATGTTATGATTGAAAATGCTCTTAGGCATTCTCTAAGCCACCACTTTACCAGACAAATAAGAAAATGGAGACCTACAAAGACGTAGGTGTTTGCCAAAGCCATGCAGTGCCACAGACTCTGGGCTCTGTGGCATTTGTTCTTTGCACTGATGACTCACGTTTAATACTTTAATTTCACAGTGCCAAGAGAATTACAAAAGAAAACTTCCCAATTTATCTTCTTAACCATTTATACATTACTGGTTATTAGAGGAGCATATGATTAATATACTTGTGTACAATGTTTATTTTTAAAAATTAAGAAGGATTGTCCCTACAATGTATAACACATTTTGTCAAGGTAGAGCAACATTCCTGCCCAGACCACTTTGCAATTGAGCTGCTTGAAAGAGATAATGTGGTTTTAGAAATAAGTGAATCAGTCTTTATATAACATATTCATTTCATAAGTTGGAAAATTGTCTTGGAGTTTAAAGCTCCTCTTTGAATAGCGATGATGTCTAGGATAGTGAAGATTAAATTGCAGCATTAAAAAATCTTAGTGATTTCAAGTCCTTGCAGGCTGTGCTATGGACTGGGAGTTGCAGATAGCTGTAGCTATCTTTACTAGACCCTCAAGGCCTTAATGGAAACATAATGACGTGAAGAATATTAAGGTGCTTTTGTTGTTTTAAAATACAGCCATCTAGATCACTTTCTTATATATTTCCACCTCAACCATCTTTCCTCCTGTAACAATTATAGAGACTTAGGTAAGGAATAGACAAAAATGACATATTTTTCAGGATATTATACCATATTTTAAAAAGTCCTCAGCCTTCGTTTAAATCTCTTTGATATAAACTCCATCAAAAGTATACTTTCAAAGGTGGTAAGCACATTCATACAGGGATATATTGTTCAATTTTTGCAGAGAGTTTCTATGCTGAGTGAGGCATTATCTGTAAGTGCTGTAGTTCAGTAGACGTATTCTGTCCCATCAATCTCTGTGCTACTGTGAAGAATGCTAGAGGAACAGAAGTACCCTTTAGCTGGTAAGCCTCTGCTCAGTGTGGGATCAGATAGGGAAAGGATTTACATAAGTTTTCTTTAAACTCTCTTTTCCTGCTTAGGTTAACTTTGAAATGACCTAGATATGATGAAGAGATGGTTGTGTATTTTAGTTTCTTGTAGATATTTCAACAGAGCCAACATTTTATGTCCTTTACATAGTGATGTTGAGAATGGAATTGTAGGATTTTTGCTCTGATTCAACACCCCATAGTTTTTGTTGCCATCAACAATCCCCAACCCAATAGTGTGCCACACTGACTGATAAAGGTTTACTATTACATTCCCCACATTGTTGTATCATCACACAAATCTGAACGTAGGTGTTGAAGTTATTCCAGAGAGAAACTGTGAAGCAAAGCAACCAGAACTACCCTGTAATATAGTGCTTTGTTTTCAGTCAAATTAGTTGAAACATGTGAGGGGCTTTTTCTAAAGTTCTCATTTTATCATTTTGCTTGTACTTAGGAGTATACTGAAATCGAAAATACAAAACTCACCTTTATCACTATTCCCCATGTTCAGTCACATTGAAATGAGACTTGTATGTAGATTACACCCAAAGCAAGACCCGTGCTCTGGCTTTTCCCTCAAACTTCTATTGAGCTGTCTATGCAGATGAAATATCAGCACTTCTTTCCCACTCCACCTGCTTCAAACAACTCTCTCCACCACACCAGATATTTTCATTTAAAGCCCTGATTCTATCAACAGCATTACCATTTTCTAGGTCATTCAAGATTAAATTTTTAAGTTTTCTTTTACTTTTCTTTTCCTTTTCAAATGAACTCTCTCTAGCCTGACATCTAAATGATTCCTAAAATTAGTTTAAGACACATTTATGTCTTATATCTATTCTCTCTTTTGTATTTCCACCATTGCAATGATCTCTTTAACACTTCTAAATGTTTGCATGTAGCATTGTCTTACCACTATATATTTAACAACACAACCCTGAGTGGAAATAGTAGGAGGCATTTATTGCCAAACAAATTAAGTCAGAGTATTTTTTTAAATAAATATTTGTCACATATAATCTACTCCCCATAATGAACATACAAGTATGCCATGCTCAGGTTATAAAGGACTACTTACAATGCCATCACACATCTATCCATTACATCACAGCTTTGCTTTTGGCCTCTCTTCTATTCATGCTCAACTCCCCTTTGCAAAATCTGCCTGCCAAAATTCTACCCACAAATTGAGGCAAAGCTCATATGTCTCTTAGCTGCCTGAAACTATTCAACTTTTAATCAGCTATTTCTTTTTATTATACTTTAACTTCTGGGGTACATGTGCAGAACATGCAGTTTTGTTCCATAGGTATACACATGCCATGGTGGTTTGCTGCACCCATCAACCTGTCACCTACATTAGGTATTTCTCCTAATGCTATCCCTCCCCTAGTCCCCCACCCCGCAACAGGCTCCAGTGTATGACATCCCCCTACCTGTGTCCATGTGTTCTCATTATTTAACTCCCATTTATGAGTGAGAACATGTGGTGTGTGGTTTTCTGTTCCTGTGTTAGTTTACTGAGAATGATGGTTTCTAGCTTCATCCATGTCTCTCCAAAGGACATGAACTCATCTTTTTTATGGCTGCATAGTATTCCATGGTGTAATATGTGCCACATTTTCTTAATCCAGTTTATCACTGATGGACATTTGGGTTGGTTCCACGTCTTTGCTATTGTGAATAGTGCCGCAATAATCATATATGTGCATGTGTCTTTATAGTAGAATGATTTATAATCCTTTGGGTATATACCCAGTAATGGGATTGCTGGGTCAAATGGTATTTCTAGTTTTAGATCCTTGAGGAACCACCACACTGTCTTCCACAATGGTTGAACTAATTTACACTCCCACCAACAGTGTAAAAGCATTCCTATTCCTCCACATCCTCTCCAGCATCTCTTGTTTCCTGACATTTTAATGATCACCATTCTAACTGGCATGAGATTGTATCTCATTGCGGTTTTGATTTGCATTTCTGTAATGACCAGTGATGATGAGCATTTTTTCGTATGTTTGTTGGCTGCATAAATGTCTTCTTTTGAGAAGTGTCTGTTCATATCCTTTGCCCACTTTCTGATGGGGGTTTTTTTTCTTGTAAATTTATTTAAGTTATTTGTAGATTCTGGATATTAGTCCTTTGTCATATGGATAGATTGCAAAAATTTTCTCTGATTCTGTAAGTTGCCTGTTTACCCTGATGACAGTTTCTTTTGTTGTGCAAAAGCTCTTTAGTTTAAGTAGATCCCAATTGTCCATTTTGGCTTTTGTTGCCATTGCTTTTGGTGTTTTACGCATGAAGTCTTTGCCCATTCCTATGTCCTGAATGGTATTGCCCAGGTTTTCTTCTAGAATTTTTATGGTTTTAGGTCTTCCGTTTAAGTCTTTAATCTATCTCTAGTTGATTTTTGTATAAGGTGTAAGGAAGGGGTCCAGTTTCAGTTTTCTGCATATGGCTAACCAATTTTCCCAACACCATTTATTAAATAGGGAATCCTTTCCCCATTGCTTGTTTTTGTCAGGTTTGTCAAAGATCAGAAGGTTTTAGATGTGTGGTGTTATTTCTGAGGCCTCTGTTCTGTTCCATTGGTCTATAGATCTGTTTTGGTACTAGTACCATGCTGTTTTGTTTACTGTAGCCTTGTAGTATAGTCTGAAGTCACGTAGCATGTTGCTTCCAGCTTTGCTCTTTTTGGTTAGGATTGTCTTGGATATGTGGGCCCTTTGTTGGTTCCATGTAAAGTTTAAAGTTGTTTTTTTCCAATTCTGTGAAGAAAGTCAATGGTAAATTGATGGTGATAGCACTGAATCTATAAATTACTTTGGGCAGTGTGGCCATTTTCATGATATTGATTCTTCCTACCCATGAACATGGAATGTGTTTCCATTTGTTGTGTCCTCTCTTATTTCCTTGAGCAGTGGTTTGCAGTTCTCCTTGAAGAGGTCCTTCACATTCCTTGTAAGTTGTATTACTAGGTTTTTTTTTTTTTTTGAGATGGTGTTTCACTCTTGTTGCCCAGGCTGCAGTGCAATGATGCGATCTTGGCTCACTGCAACCTCTGCCCCCCAGGTCCAAGTGATTCTCCTGCCTCAGCCTCCCAAGTAGCTGGGATTATAGGCACGCGCCACCACGCCTGGCTAATTTTTATATTTTTAGTAGAGACAAGGTTTCACCATGTTGGCCAGGATGATCTCAGTCTCCTGATCTTGGATCCACATGCTTGGGCCTCCCAAAGTACTCGGATTACAGGTGTGAGCCACCGCGCCTGGCCCATAGGTATTTTATTCTCTTTGTAGCAATTGTGAATGAGAGTTCACTCATGATTTGGCTCTCTGTTTGTCTGTTATTAGTGTTTAGGAATGCTTGTGATTTTTGCACATTGTTAATCAGCTATTTTTTTTCCTGCACTTTCCTAGAATACTTATTTGAATGTGCTTTTTTATGATTCTTGGTAAACATATTGTCTTCCCTACCTATGAAACTAAAAGCTCCATGGAAAAAGATGATGTCTCATTTAATGTTTAATATTCACCACAAAATATCTATCTGTCTATCTATCTATCTTTCTATCTATCTATCTATCTATCTATCTATCTATCTATCATCTATCTATCCATCTCTCTCTCTTCAATATTTCCCACATTTATTGAGGTACAAGTGCAGTACAATAAAGTGTACATATGTAAAGTGTACAATTTGATCATTTTTATAATGTATGTGTATACCTATAAAACCACCAAAATCAAGACAACGAACATGTTCACCAGCCCTCTAGTATTTCTCTGTGTCCTTCTGCATTTCATGTCTCCCTTACCCCCATTTACAGATAGCAAGTAATGTTGTTTTCGTCACTATACATTAGATCACATTTTCTCCAGTGTCATACAATAAAAATCATACCATGATCATACGATGTGCACTTTATTTCTACCTAACTTATTTAACTTGGCAAAATAATTTTGATATTTATCTATATTACTATAACAGTAGTTCATTTACCTTCATTACTGAGTAATATTTTATTACATTAATATACCACAATTATATGAGTTTTCTTTAGTTTTAAGTTACGGATAATGTTGCTAAGAAAATCCATATACAATTCTTCCTGTAGACATACATTTTCATTCCTTTTGAGTAAATACCTAGGAATTGAGGGGCTGTATTACTTGATATGTGTGTGCTTAACTTTTAAAGAAAATTCCAGATTGTTCTCATAGGTGGCACCATTTTAAATTCCCTCTTGCAAAGTATGAGTTTCAGTTGCACAACAGCCTTGTGAACACTTGATTTGACCAATTATCTTATTTTTACCCATCTAATCAATACGTAGTGTTACCTCAATTTGTGGTTTAATTTACATTTACATTATAACTATTTTTTGTGTGATTGAGTCACAAGAGTTATTTATTTTTATTTTGTATTTTTTGAAATGGAGTCTCGATCTTTCACCAGCCTGGAGTGCTTTGGCGCAATCTCGGCTCACTGCAACTTCCGACTCCCTGGTTCAAGCAATTATCCTGCCTTTGCCTCCTGAGTAGCTGGGACTACAGGGATGCGCCACCACACCCAGCAATTTTTTTTTTTTTTTTTTTTTTTTTTTTTTAGTAGAAACCGGGTTTCATCATGTTGGCCAGGATGCTCTCGATCTCCTGACTTCATAATCCACCTGCCTCGGCCTCCCAAAGTGCTGGGATTACAGGCCTGAGCCACCGCTCCAGGCCCACAAGAGTTATTAATATGTTCTGAGTTCAGGTTCTTCCCCTGACTCTGTGTTATGAATACTTTGTTAAAGATTATTCATGAGTGATATTACTCTTAATTTCCCTTTTTATAATGCTTTTGTTAGGTTTTCATATTCAGTTTCTGTAGGCCTCATAAAATGAGTTGGGAAATAATCCTTCCTATATTTTCTACTGTGTGCATATTAGAAATATGCATATATGTATTATCTATTTCTCATTGTATTCCTCTCTTTACAATGTATAGTATTCTCAGTGTATTTAGTGCAGCATTTGTCTAATTTATTCCTTGAATGTTTGATGGAATTCTCCAGAGAACCATATGGGCCTATTTTCCTTTCGTGAAATTTTTTAATAACAAGTTCATGTTTCAAAAATGCATATATGGCTACTTAATTTTTGGTTTCTTATTGTGTCTTTTTTGTTTTGTTGCATTTTTCAAGAAACTTTCCATTCTTTCTAATGTGTTAAATTAATTGACATTCAGTTTTTCAAAATATTATCTTATTATTCATTTAATTACTGAAGGGTCTGTCATAATAATCCCTTTTCCATTCCTGATATTGATGATTCATAGTTAAGGATTTGTAAATTTTGTCGATCTTTTTAGAGAATCAGCCAATCTTCTCCGCTAATTTTCTCCTTTGACTGCTTTTTTATTTCCTTCATTTTTGCTCTATATTTTTATAATTTTCTTTCTTGTACTTACTTTGACTTTGCATTGTTCCTTTTTGAATCTAGTTCTTAAAGTAAACCTAGGTCATTGATACTTTTATTCTTCTATTTCTGTTATAAGCATTTAACAGTATAAGTTTTCCACTTTAGTTACATTCTACAAATTTTGAAATGTTGCATTTTCATTATGATTTCAATTTACATTGTGATTTCATATTTGATCTCTGAATTATTTAGAAGTATAGTATTTAAATCCTGGATATTTTATCTTTCTCAAAATATTTTTTGATATCTACTTTTTATTTTCTATTTGTATCTCTTAATTTTTATTAATTTCTACTTTAATTGAATTGTGAGAAGTGAGTCCTTTTAAATTTAATATTTGTTTTATTAACCAGCATATGGTCTATCTTGGTGAATGTTCCATTTGCACTTGAGAAGAGCTCATATTGTGAAATTCCTGGCTGTAGATCAAAGTGGTTTGTAGTGTTTGTAGTGTTCTTCAGATTGTCTATATTCTTAGTGATTTTTTTTGTCTAGTTGTTCCATCAATTGCCAAGACAGAAATATTAAAATCCCTTGCCATTATTGTGGACCGGTCTGGATTTCCCTTTAATTTTGTCTGTTTTTGTTTAACATGCATTGAGACTCTATCATTAGGCACATGGTCAGTAAATATTGCATATATTTCTGATGACTTTTTTCCTTTTATTATAGAAAACAGCTCCTGTTTATTTCTGAGGAGTGCTCTTGTCTCAAATTCTGTTGTAACAGATAATAAAACAGCTATTATAGCCTTTTTTTGCTTCCTCTTTGCATTTTATATTTATTTCTGCCCATTTAATTTCAACTCTTATAGTTATCTCATAGTAAGATGTTAGTTTAAATTTTTTTATGGTTTGCCTTTTATTGGAATGTTGAGGTTATTACTACTTAATATAATGTTTCACGTATTTGAATTTAGATCTACCATTTTGTTATTTATGTTCTGTTTGTCCTCTCTGTTTTTGTCTCTCTGTTTCCAATCTTTCTGCTTCTTTTGTACTATATAAATGGATTTTGGTATGTTTTTAATTAATCTATTGGCTTTCATGCTATATCTCATTGCACTTTTTTTAGTGGTTGCTCTGTGGATCAATAAATGTATACTTAAACTTTTATGGTCCACTAGATGTAAAATGCAGAAACTTGCAAACCTATGGATTAATACTTGACTGATTTTTACATTATGTTTTTACATATGTTATATTTCTATCAATTGAAAATCACACCAGAACATTTCATTTTAATATTCAACATATTTTAAAACTCAGGTAAAAATGTTTTTTACATCTACCCTGATATTTACCTTTCCATTGCATTTCCTTCATTCTAAAGAAACAAGTTTCTCATGGTACCATTTTTCTTCAGCCTAAACAACTTCATTTAATATTTCTTATAAGTCTAAGTCTCCTAAGGATCAATTTTCTACACTTTCTTTAATCTAAAAATGTAGGGTTTTTTTTTAATTCCTGAAGGATATATTTGGTCATTTTTTTGAATCAGTTATTTTCTTTCAATACTATAAAAAGCTGTTCCTCCATCTTCAGGCCTCTATGGTTTGTGATAAGAAACTCATAGTCATTTGAAAAAGTAATTGCTCCTCTGTAAACAATGTCTAGTATTCTTTAGCTGCATTCAGAGCTTTTTTTTTAAGTCTTTTTTTTTAAACCAACTTGATTATGAAGCATCTAAAAGGCACAGTTTTCCTTAAGCTTTCCTGCTTAGATTTACTGAATTTCTTGGATCTATCAATTTCTGTGTTTCCCAAGTTTGAGACATTGGTGCTTGTTATTTATTCATATATCTTTTGTGCCTCAACCTCTATTGTCTCTTCTGGAACTCTAATTATGCATGTTTGATATTTTTATTTTATTCTACAGATTCTTCAGGCTCTGTTCCTGAAGAATCTGAATATTTGCTTTCACAAAATTTACCTATTTTCTGTCATTTATAATTTGCTGTTAAACCCATTCATTGAGGTTTTATTCCAGACGTAGTACGTTTCAATTTAAATTTTGTACTTGGTTCTTTATTATATTTTCCTGAAAGTTCCTATGTTTCAGACATTTCAGTATGCTCCGATTTACCCTATAAAACATAGTTTTATAACCGATTTAAAGTTTCTGTCTGATAGTTTCAACATCACCCTCATCTCGGGGTTGGTATCTGTTGATCATATTTTCCCATAAGAAGTTGTTACACTTTTCTAGTACTTTGTAGCTTTGATAATTTTAAATTGTATCTGGATACTGTAAATATCATGTAGTCTCTGAGTCCTGCTATACACTTTGAAGAATGTTGAAGTTTTTATATTATCAGAAAACCAAGCTGGCCATGTTGAGATTATAATTTCCGATTTGCCTTCTGTGTACAATGATTTAAACCTCAGCTTAGCTCTCTAAGCTTCTGCTATGCTGATTTGAATCTGACTTAGGTATAAATACTTTACGATAAGGCTGAGATTGTTGTGGGTGCATATGCATGGAATTATATGCATATAATTCCCTGGCTCTTTCCCTGGCTCTTCCTCTAATGGAATCCAGCTATATTCTACAGACCACAGGAGACAATAAAGCATGGGAGTGAAAATAAAACATGGATTTCTCTTGAAGTTTCATTCTCCATGTGTCCATACTGCTCTTTTTCTATTCCCCTAACCCCTCACTTGGGGACTAGTCTTGAGAGAAAAAAGAAAACGGAGATGCTCACCTCCATTCCGGTCACATCTCTGTTTTGACATCTTTCCATAGTCTGCTTGCTTCTGTTTTCTTTCCATGTTCCCAGGTAGCTGTTTTTGCATTTTGTCTAACATTTTTAGTTCTAATCAGCAAAAGTTATGGGCTTACGCCATTACATAACATCAGTGGAACTCAGAAACTAATATTTAATGAAAATTAAGTGATATTGCAGCAGATGAAATATAGTAAATGTGTCAACCAATAAAGTGAGGAAGTGTGAGGCACTAGTTTTGAGTAACTTACAGGCATCTTTTTATATCAATAACTACTAGATATCTAGTTACTCTTGTTATATCTTCATTACTGTAACCCAATTTGGGGTACTGAATAAACTACAGTTTTTGTTGCAAATGAAGTCATATTAATATATTTTTTTTTGTTTTTTTGAGACGGAGTTTCGCTCTTGTTGCCCAGGCTGGAGTGCAGTGGTGAGATCTCTGCTCACTGTAACCTCCGCCTCCTGAGTTCAAGCTATTCTCCTGCCTCAGCCTCCCTAGTAGCTGGGATTACAGGCGTGAGCCACCATGCCTGGCTAATTTTTATATTTTTAGTAAAGACAGGGTTTCGCTATGTTTAGCCAGGCTTGTCTTGAATTCCTGACCTCAGGCCTTGGCTTCCCATAGTGCTGAGATTACAGGATTGAGCCGCCACACCCAGCCTATATATATTTTTTTCAATTTTAGTTCTAAGTAAAATAAGAGACACTGGGAATATTTTTAAGTACCTAATGATCACAGGTCACTCAATCAGTTGCTTATCCAATATCCATCTAATATCCATCTACTTCTCTTTTCCTGGCTTTAATTTTGTCCAATATTGGAATTTTTCTTTTCCTTTTTTTTTTTTTTTTTTTTTTTTGAGATGGAATCTCAATCTTGTTGCCCAGTCTGGAGTGCAATGGCGCTATCTCGGATCACTGCATCCTCCGCCTCCTGGATTCAAGCGATTCTCCTGCCTCAGCCTCCCTAGTAGCTTGGATTACAGGCATGTGCCACCACACCCGGCTAATTTTTGTATTTTTAGTAGAGACAAGGTTTCATCATGTTGGTCAGGCTGGCCTTGAACTCCTGACCTCAGGTTGATCCACCTGCCTAGGCCTCCCTAAGTGCTGGGATTACAGGTGTGAGCCACTGCGCCCAGCCCCGAGATTGGAATTTTTAATTCCAAGTAGTAAATCTTGCTTGGCTTAAATGAATAATGATTATAATAAATACAGATTTATACAAGAAACCAAGACAGAAAACATACAATTGAAATACTAGGACTCAAAAAGAATATTAAAATTAACTACAGCTCCAGAAATTTTTCTTATTTATTGAGACTTCTGTAGAAAGAATATGCTATATCTTAATTAAAGCCTTATATTTTTGGTTTTCTAAAAGCTAATTCTTTTTTCCTTATTTAAACATTAATTACAAAAATCATGTTTATGTTATTTTCCTTTATTTTTACTGTTAAGAAAAAAAAAAGAAATTAGACCTTATGCTTAAAATGTCTCAATGTACATTGGTAGATTTTACAACAATGTGGTAAAATTTACCATGCTTGCTTTAAAATTCAAATTCCAATCAAGTACAGGGACATAAATTTTATTGTGCTAGAAATATTCTGTTTGACTTTCTAGATTTTTCCATGCTTCTCCACCATACTCTTGTCTGCATTCTATCAACACATTCTCAGGACTTCCACTTTCCAGTAGGCTTTGATCAGTCTTTCCCATCGATTCTAACTGGAAACCATAGTCAAAGGATGAGTTAGGTCGAAGTATTTATTCTCCTGATTTTTTTGTCTGTAATGATTTGCCTGACAAAATAAATATGCACATAGTATATACTAAATCTGGAAATATGAGTAGATTAACAAATGGACACATGTTATAGAAGCAGGCAGAAAGTAGTCCCTGAGTAAGGCAGAGGAAAACTCATTGCCAAGGAATCAATGTGGAGATATGGAAGTTTCTAACACATTCAAAAACTATCAAGATTTTGGTGTAGTTGCAGCTTAAAGTGTGTCATTGTCTAGACAAATAATTAAACCCTCATTCATGGAAGAGTCTTTTCTACCATAATCAGGCAAATGGACTTTACCCATCTAAGGTTAAGAGATTAAAGAGTGCAGTTATATTATGAGACTGGTGTAACAGAAATCACACTTTGGCAGAAAGCTAGAGAATGTATTTGAAGAGAGTGAGAACTGTTAGAGGATTATTGAAATAGCTGTGGTGGGAGATGCTGAGCATCCAAATCAAGTCAGTAGCAATAGATGTATTTATTTCATGCTTTCTCATAATGGGAACAAAATCTGTATAAAGTGTATTACTAAGAAAATACATATAAACATTCCTTAGAGATTGTAAAGCCTTACATTTTAGTCATACTCTATCATACACATAACAAGAAAAAAAATAAAAGAAAACCTTTATTTTTAAATGTAACACTGGATAGTGTCATGTTTCGATAGGGTATCTACACATTTTTTTGATGAAGAAAGGTCATAATAAAAGGCAATATAAACTGGGTTATAATGTTTTCTGATAATTTTATCCATTTTATTTGATAATATTAAAAATAGCTGTCCAAGCAAATGAGAGGGGAACAATATTATAAATGTGGGAATCAGTTAGTTTCATTTTCTCTAAAGTATAAGCAGATATTCAATGGTATATTTACCATTTTATAATTAACTGCACATTACAGGCAATTCTGAGCAAATGCTGAGTTACTTCAATAAATTGGCAAGTGGGCAGAAGATTCCTGTAAATGCAGATTGAAAAATAATATGAATGCAAGCACAAGGGAATGAAAACAAAATGGCAGGGCTGATGCTTAGTGGTATATAAACATTTTTATGTGTTTAGGAAACAGAGAGTTCAAACTTATGGAATATTATTATAGATCAGTTAAGATGAGAACTAAAAATGTGCTATAGAAAATGTATTTTTGTTCTCCTAAGTTTTAATTTGTAAACTACGTTGTGTTAAAATGATACTAAAATAGAACTAGCTTCACTGTGTTATCCTTGTGTTGTCCTGCCAAGTAAATGTAGAAACCAGAAGAGCCATCCAGCATAAATGTGTACCCATGTCAAGAAGCACACATTTATTACATGCAACTCTACACATGATTAATATGAGAGCTCTCCTGACTGTCTCCTTCCATTTCCTTATCCCACTACACACCCAGGAAAAGAGAAACTCCTCTCAGGTACCTGAAAAGTGAACATGTGGGATACTTTTAATTATAAAATAGTTCTTAAGTATAATAATAAAGCCAGAAAAGAGAAAGCCAATACTGTTAGAATACATTAAGGTTAGGAACTTTCTTCCAAGCTATTCTCTAAACAAACAAACAAAATTCTAGTTACAAAAGACAGTATAACTTTGTCTTTTCAGATTAATGTTTTAGTTTCAACTAGTAGTTGGAAGACCCTCAAAGAACGTGCCATAAAGACATTTGCAATTTTGCTGAGAAGTATATTTGAATTAAGATTCCTGTGGGGGTAGCTTGTTGAATCATATTGTTTAGCTAGAGGGTAAGCCTGGCAGATCTTTTTATCATCTGCCTCTGTGTAGCTTTGCTGATTTCTACACATGCATAATATCACTCATGAAATTGTAGCAAATATTTATCTTTGTGAGAAATGACCATTAGATGAATAAAAAAAAATTAGTATAAGTGGAAATGCAAATATCTTGTGCTGTGAGACCACACAGAGAAAGAAATAGCTCTGGACTGAAATGTGATTAAGGGCTTATTCAAAGAGTCCTATGTTCATAAATTTGAACATAAAATAAATGCTCATAAGCAAATTTATGTTCATAAATTTGAGCATAAATTTGAGCATTTGGGTTTTGAGATGGGCTTTTCAAGATCAACCCAATATCAAGATTGAGTTCTATTAGCTGATGAAATTTAACTAGATGCACAGAGGTTAACAATGAAAATTGGCAATACTAGAGATCACTTTCTCTGGGCATGTTTATCCAATTCCTTTTCATGTTGTTTCTTTTGTGTCATACCTGCCTATCTCCTAGGAGTCAACATACTAACAGATTGCTTTTGTTTTGAGAGTGGAAGTAGATAATTAATAGAACTTAATGATACATCAGTGCAATGCAGAGTACACATAAGGAAGTTCAGATTTGGCAAGAAGGTTATTTAGGGCTGTTTCTCATAAATATCTTTTTTTTATTATACTTTAAGTTTTAGGGTACATATGCACATTGTGCAGGTTAGTTACATATGTATACATGTGCCATGCTGGTGCGCTGCACCCACTAACTCGTCATCTAGCATTAGGTATATCTCCCGATGCTATCCCTCCCCCCTCCCCCCACCCCACAACAGTCCCCAGAGTGTGATATTCCCCTTCCTGTGTTCATGTGATCTCACTGTTCAATTCCCACCTATGAGTGAGAATATGCGGTGTTTGGTTTTTTGTTCTTGCGATAGTTTACTGAGAATGATGATTTCCAATTTCATCCATGTCCCTACAAAGGACATGAACTCATCATTTTTTATGGCTGCATAGTATTCCATGGTGTATATGTGCCACATTTTCTTAATCCAGTCTATGATTGTTGGACATTTGGGTTGGTTCCAAGTCTTTGCTATTGTGAATAATGCCGCAATAAATATACGTGTGCATGTGTCTTTATAGCAGCATGATTTATAGTCCTTTGGGTATATACCCAGTAATGGCATGGCTGGGTCAAATGGTATTTCCAATTCTAGATCCCTGAGGAGTCGCCACACTGACTTCCACAGTGGTTGAACTAGTTTACAGTCCCACCAACAGTGTAAAAGTGTTCCTATTTCTCCACATCCTCTCCAGCGCCTGTTGTTTCCTGACTTTTTAATGATTGCCATTCTAACTGGTGTGAGATGGTATCCAATTGTGGTTTTGATTTGCATTTCTCTGATGGCCAGTGATGATGAGCATTTTTTCATGTGTTTTTTGGCTGCATAAATGTCTTCTTTTGAGAAGTGTCTGTTCATGTCCTTTGCCCACTTTTTGATGGGGTTGTTTGTTTTTTTCTTGTAAATTTGTTTGAATTCATTGTAGATTCTGGGTATTAGCCCTTTGTCAGATGAGTAGGTTGTGAAAATTTTTGGGAAGTATTTCAAAATAATAAGAGCTATCTATGACAAACCCACAGCCAATATCATACTGAATGGGCAAAAACTGGAAGCATTCCCTTTGAAAACTGGCACAAGACAGGGATGCCCTCTCTCACTACTCCTATTCAACATAGTGTTGGAAGTTCTGGCCAGGGCAATAAGGCAGGAGAAGGAAATAAAGTGTATTCACTTAGGAAAAGAGGAAGTCAAATTGTCCCTGTTTGCAGATGACATGATTGTATATCCAGAAAACCCCATTGTCTCAGCCCAAAATCTCCTTAAGCTGATAAGCAACTTCAGCAAAGTCTCAGGATACAAAATCAATGTACAAAAATCACAAGCATTCTTATACACCAACAACAGACAAACAGAGAGACAAATCATGAGTGAACTCCCATTCATAATTGCTTCAAAGAGAATAAAATACCTAGGAATCCAACTTACGAGGGATGTGAAGGACCTCTTCAAGGAGAACTACAAACCACTGCTCAAGGAAATAAAAGAGGATACAAACAAATGGAAGAACATTCCATGCTCATGGGTAGGAAGAATCAATATCGTGAAAATGGCCATACTGCCCAAGGTAATTTACAGATTCAATGTCATCCCCATCAAGCTACCAATGCCTTTCTTACAATTGGAAAAAACTACTTTAAAGTTCATATGGAACCAAAAAAGAGCCCGCATTGCCAAGTCAATCCTAAGCCAAAAGAACCAAGCTGGAGGCATCACACTACCTGACTTCAAACTATACTACAAGGCTACAGTAACAAAAACAGCATGGTACTGGCACCAAAACAGATCTATAGACCAATGGAACAGAACAGAGCCCTCAGAAATAATGCCGCATATCTACAACTATCTGATCTTTGACAAACCTGAGAAAAACAAGCAATGGGGAAAGGATTCCCTATTTAATAAATGCTGCTGGCAAAACTGGCTAGCCATATGTAGAAAGCTGAAACTGGATCCCTTCCTTACACCTTATACAAAAATTAATTCAAGATGGATTAAAGACTTAAATGTTAGACCTAAAACCAGAAAAACCCTAGAAGAAAACCTAGGCATTACCATTCAGGACATAGGCATGGGCAAGGACTTCATGTCTAAAACACCAAAAGCAATGGCAACAAAAGACAAAATTGACAAATGGGATCTAATTAAACTAAAGAGCTTCTGCACAGCAAAAAAAACTACCATCAGAGTGAACAGGCAACCTACAAAATGGGAGAAAATTTTCGCAACCTTCTCATAAATATCTTAACTGTAAAGCATGAATATCTCGAAGCATGAATATCTTAACTATAATTGTCATTTGGGTGTCTTCATTCCAGATACCTCTTTGTGTGTGTGTGCACAAGCATGTGCATATACTAATAATTTTTTAAAGTTTTAATTTACAGTGGTTATAGGTTTTTAGAAAAGTTGCAAAAGTTGTGTAGAATGTTTCCGTATATCCTACACTCATTCTTCTATTGTTAACATGTTATATTCAACAGTGCTTTTGCTATAATATCGCACCAACCAACATTGTTACATTACTACTAATTAAACTCCGTTGTTTATTTGCATTTCACTAGTGTTTTCCCTACTTTAGTTTTCCTGTTCTGGAATTTCATCCCAGTTACAGTATTTCATTTAGTTTTGTGTGTCTTTAACCTCTTTGGTCTTCGAAGTTCCTTAGACTTTCTTTGTTTTTCATGGCTTTGATAGCTTTTAGGAGTATTGGTTAGGTGTTTTGTAGAATATTCCTCAAGATGTGTTTGTATCATGTTTGTCTCATGTTTAGACTGGAGTTATAGGTTTTGAGGAGAAAGACTACACAGTTGAACTGCCATTCTTAACATGTCATATCAAGGATACATGCCATCAATGTGACACGACACATCACTAATCATGTTAACCTTGGCCACCTAGCTGAGGTAGTGTCTGCCAAGGTTTTCTGCTCTATGGTCCCTCCTCCATTTCCATACCATACTCTTTGGAAGCAGTCCTTAAACACAACTCAGAAAGGGTGGCGAGTTAAGCTTCACCTACTTGAGGGGGAATATCTTCATATCTTCATAATTAATTTGGAATATTTCTGTACAAGGGATTTGTCTATTATACCTCATTTATTAATTCATTCAATTACTTATGTATATTAGTATAAATAAATACTGGACATTTATTTTATTCTCACTAATACTACATTGATTACTTAATGAAGTAATAATCAGATTACTTAATCCAATACTACATTTTTTTCTTCTCAAATTATTCCAGTTTTGGCCATTGGGTGCTCTTACAGTTTGGCTTCATGTTCCTTTGCTATAATCATATCCAGATAACTTTTTAAGCAATGTAAGAAGGGTCCTGTTGCTGAGGACTTTGTGAATGCAATTAAAATGACTTCCTGAAAGTGACTAAACTCATACAATTAAACTAATGGAGATGGATTTTAAACAAAATGCTCCTCCATTGTTTCAGATAAATCCACAAAATCTCATTTGGTGATATCTATTATTCTGTTCAGTGACGAAAGAAAGGACCCGGGTAGCCACTCCTGTTGTTACACATCTTTTCTTGCTTGAAATGAGCCCCCTGGGTGCCTGTGCCTTTAAATTTATCAGTAATGTTCGATACTAGGTAAAATAACTGGTTCATGGGAGTGTTATTTGACATTCTGATTCTTCTTGTTAACTTAATGGTTAAAGACTTGCAGTATTTCTCCACAGGAAACAAATGCTATAGTTTGGAGGATAGTTATCATCCCTGCCACTCTATAAACTTACATTTAAACAAGTTATAAAGCACATATAAAATCTATAATAATCCATGCTTTCTCTGGGGGAAAGGTCCTGACTTTTTTTTTCCAGAATGACAGTCACATATGAAGACTTAAAACCTTAAATAGTCCCATTTGTTTTAGTATGAAATATATATTTATATGCCAATAAAATAGAGAACGACAGAAGAATCACCCGAAAAGGATGTGTCTGAGAGAAATGTTTTATACTTAAGAAGACATTTAGGCATTTGACAAAAAGTATGAACAAAACATTCCACAATGTAGAAAAACTCTATAAAACATATTTTATAGGTACAAATATGATTTTCTTATATTCTAATTAATCATTAGAGAGGCAGATAGAATAAGTTCTACTATTTGATAGTACAGTAGGGAAATTGTAGTTAACAATGATTTATTGTATATTTCAGATAGCTAGAGGAAAAGATTTGTAGTATTCCCAACACAAAGAAAAGATAAATGTTTGAAGTGATGAATATCCCAACTGCCCTTATTTGATCATTATACATTGTATACACCCATCAAAATATCTCATGTACCCCCCAAATTATGTACAACAATTCTATATCAGTTAATTAACTAATTAATTTTTAAAAGGACACTATCCGTTCTGTCACCAAACTTATTTCCAAGAAAACTGTGGAGACTTGTCAGAAGCCCCTGTCTCCCTAAGCCTACCTTCTTTCTGTTTCATTCAGGTTTGCCATAAGTGTTCTTGCTGCGAATGGGATGAGAATGGATTTGGTTGTATGTGTGGTTGCAGACAATCTACAGGCTGTGAACAAAGGTGGGAAGTCACATGGGGAGATGGGGCGGGGGGCGCTGTTCTGGAGAAAGAAGGCAGAGAAAAGGCTCCAAAACCCTTCAGGGAATAGGTGTTTCAGTGGTGTTGTGTGGATGAGAAGCAGGAACACCTTGAGTGACTACTATTTGGATAGCTACAGATGAAATAAAGGCTCAGGTGAGGAAGAAGTGTCATGAGAAGTCTTGGGCAACTGAGGCTTTCTGGGTAGAAGGGGCTGTGGAAGGAAAAGAAGGAGGTGAGTGTTGAGTATCCTTAGACCAAAGCATCTTCTAGACCTTCCATTGGAGACTGAGGGATAAGAGTAAGGCAGCAGTTGCTAGTAGGTACCATTGAATTATCTGTCACATTTTCTTACGTAAAAGGCTGCCTCTGCTTTCAAATGAGTGGTCTTCCAAACGTCATTTTGTGAAGAAGTTCACTTATTTCAAAATTATAATCTTTACTTAAAACATTTGAATAAGGATGTAGCAAATGGCAAATGCCATTTTATGCTTCACAAAACAAGTTATCATATAACTTTATAATCACATCTTATTCTTGTATATATTTGAGAAATATTTCCACAGGAAATTTTAAAGTTAGAAGATATTTCAGAATTACACTAAAAATTCAGGCTTATGTTCTTGGAGATGTTGAGGTTTTTGTTCCTGTTTATAAAAGTACTTTTTCTTTCACCTAACTCTCCTGCCCTTGGTAATATAACTCTTCAAACTACATGGAATATTTTCATAAAAGATGCCATACTTCTTGGAGACTTAACTGGTCTTTTGATTGGCCTCATTTTAGTAACATGCTTTATCCTTTTTGGTCTATTTCATAAAACCTTTATCTTTTTTAATTTATACAAAAGACAATCTATTTGCATCTCACAGGATTTTAAATCCAGGGTTTAAAAAATATATTTCTGTATTAGAAAATATTTCTGAGCCAAATGCGAATTTAGGTACATTTAACAAAATTACAAAATGAGTTTTGAAATCTGAATTTTTTGTTTACTGCCATCTTGGATTTTTTTACATTAATAGCTGTTTGTCCTGTCACTTCGATCAGCTATAGTGTGAGTCCATGATTAGCCAGACATTGCATTAGGGCTTTATAAATCCAGACATCAAAACCTAGACATCAAAAGGAAGGCCACAAATTACAATTTTTAATCTTCTTCACATCTCTGATGAAGATTAGTCTTTTCCAGCTATAATAAGATCAATAATAGGAGAAGCTGAAAATATGAATGTAGCACAATTTGAAGAAATTTTCTTCTAAAGCCAATGGGATTTTAAGGGAGCAAGTTACTTGACTCTCTCTAAATTAAAGAACTCTCAGTCAGCAGTGAAAAGTATGGCTTTGACATGAATTATAAGCAGGGAAATCAGGGTAGAGACATTTTATCCTAGATTACTAAATAATGACAAATACCTGAACTAGAAAAGTTGTGCTAAAAATCAACAAGATGTAATACTTTTAAGACAAATTTAAGAAATAGAATAGGCTTCAGATAGTGCTGTGAGAGAAAGGGAGAATGCAAAGATTATTCTGGGGGTTTTAGACCTTGTGTGGTTATTTTCAATATGACTTTTACAGTTATCTTTAAGACTGACCTTAAAAACGACATTCTCCTTTGCTGTTTAATGAGTATAAAGTTTCAATTATGCAAAATAAATAAGATCTATAGATCTGTTGTGAAATATTGTGCCTATAGTTAGCAATATTATATGTATGATATACTTAAAAACTTAAAACAATAGTTCTCATGTTAAGTGTTCTTATCACAATTAAAATAAAAATCCAAATGTATCTTCTCTTTCAATGTGATCACTCTGGGAGGCTAGGGTTATAATAATACTGTTGAGAATCCTTCTTTGCACATTGCCGTAACAGTTTACTGGCCTTGTTATCACAGTCAACAAATGCCTTACCCACAGTAGGAGATCAAATTATTGAATTGCTGATTTAACAATTTATTGATTGTTTCGTTGAAGATTTGTCAATAGGTTGATTAGTTTGTATGGAATTAATACAAGACTCTAATTTCTCATAACATCCCTTATCTTAGTAAAAATTGCTTATGATAAATGGTGGGAAGGGAAGCCAGAAAGGAGCTGATAACTGCAGTAATGTAACAAACCATAACGTACCTACTCTACTTTTCATGGATTCATTTTTTATCTTTCCTGCCTTCTTCCATCCCAGTCTCAGTTCCTACTCTGCCATGACATTCTTGTGCCTTTGATAATAGTAAAACCCTTGTTCTTACCCTGTCTCTTACAGAGAAGCACATTCTTTTTGCTTTTAAATGATGTAGGAGCTCTTTGTTTTACTAGCAACTCATTGTAGCTTATTATGAAAGTTGTGAAAAATAAAACTTGTTAGCTCTAAAAATATGATCCTTTCAATTCAGGTATTTCATTCTTTCAATAATAATGGAATGGTTTATTTTTATAATGAAGAGTACATATTTAAGGTGCAACACATTAATGATTCTAATGGAAATTACCGTGTAAATAAATGTCATGACATTGAAGCTTTTTCCTGAAATAGACCTTTTAGTGATTTCTGTTTTAGTTATATTTCAACTTTGAGCCATCCATCGAGTCTGTGATAAAACACATTAAAATCACATATTTTAGATTACATGTACTATATATTCAATTTTAAACTGGCAAATGATGACTTAAACAGTACAGAGGGGATTTAAGTTTAGTAAAAATAAAGCTCAAATGCAAGCATAGATAGTCAATAATAAGCAAGCCAGAAATTCCATTTGCAAATGCCTGGACTCCTACTAGGCATTTCCTGCACATTCAGAGCTCATCACAAAAATCTTCAATTAGCACCAGAGGACATTGAAAAAGGAAAAAAGAGTGTTAGTGTGCACTTGGATGCAGATGCTGCTACCAAAGAAAGGCGCAATTGCATGCCAGCCTACACAGACAGCAACCTTGTTTTATGTGAGAAATTTGCATATTAAGAAAAGACTTAGGGTATTTGCAACACACTTTTCAGTATTCATTAAAAGGAAAAAAAATCCACTTATTTTTTTCCGTAATCATTTTTTGAAACTTTTACATTTTTACATGATTGTATCATATCAAGTTCTAAATGTCAGGAAGTCACTTATTTCATTTAGATCTAGTAAAATATTGAAACTTAATAACTGAATCATGCCAAAAATAATTTATAAAAGAATTTCGAGTTTATGTTGGTGAGAGTGAATTATTTCACTGAATACACAAATGAGACATTCATTATTTTATAAGACCATTTACTGTCATCTGGAATAACTTCCTCTTAATTTCTATAAAAGGTTATTAACTTTAATGCCAAAAAGAAAGGTAGTGTTTACATATATATAGTGTTGGCTACTACTATTATGTTATTTAATGTATGCATTTTTGAAATATATTTTGATGTTTTCCACTTGAATTTGTAGCTATTTAAATTTTAATAAAAGATACTTTGACTTTTTATAGATCAACATCTAAGCCACTCAATTCAATTACTCAAGAAAATAATTCATTACATATATAGGCTTGTTGTAATATTTTGTTTATTAGTGTTCTTATGCAAATAAAATATTGCTATTGACAAACTAAATCTAAATTAATTAAATAGTAAGTTAATAAATTTCTATACTGCCACCTTTTTGATTGTTTTTGTAGAGATGTTTTTAATATAAAATCTCTGAAACCATGAGTTTTCAGCCTGGCACTCCAATTCTCATGAAGTAATTGTTACAATGATAAGTCGGGCTACTTCAGACATAGCTTCAATGTACAAGCTGAAATTTATTCAAAGTATTGTGCTGTAGAACCTAATCTGGTCAAATTAAAAAAAAATTCTTTTAATTTACCTGGCATATTGGGTTTATAAAATTAATTCATGTTTTTCCAGCTTATGTGAGATCATTGGTTCAACAGGAAATTTTAATTCCTAAGTGTTTTATTTCCTTGTAAGGAACATGCAGCAAAGGCCTTAAAGTATTCCATAGGGCTCCAGCCATTCAAAAGAACTGCAAAGGAACCTACAAAAAATAACTCATCATAAGAAGGTTGGTTGATTTAAATTAGAGTCAAGAGAGTTTACTTTGTAGAAACAACAAGTGGAAGTAGCATTAAGTCACTCTTTTCTATTGGAAGAACATTGTTCCATTAGAGTTGGTAGCTAACTATGGTGGTGCGCCACAGCATCACCACGTGTTCCTCGATTCACATCTAAAGATGCTTCAGAACTTCACAGTGACCAGCCGTCCAGGGCGGGAGTCAACTTTAGGTCACACCTCCCAGAATTGGACAGAGCAACATTGCCGTCTTACTCAAGGAGTATGTATTAAATACAGTCAGGGATGTAATTTCTCCCAGTGGGTAGAAATTTGTTTTGTATATGATGGTGTCCACTTTTCCTATGAGAATAGATAAGCAGAGGTATGGTACACAGTGGTTCCTATGAAGTGTCTATTGAGTCGACTGGTTGTCAGGAACTTGTAAAGAACCTAACAATCATCACAGAAATGAAGTTTTGGATCAATTCAAGTGTTTGAGTGAAATGGAACATAGAATGGGGTAGTGGAGAAAGAAATATATTAAATAAATATAATTATGGTTTCATCAACAATTATAGAAGTGACATTGGAATAGCTACATATCTCTTCTTGATTGTTCTTCTATCATCTATCTATCATCTATCTCTCGATCTATCTATCTGTTTAGCTAGCGAGCTAGCTAGCTAGCTCACTATCTAATCTATCATTTCCAATATCCTCTTCTCAGATGCATTTCTCCTAATATTTTGTATAAGGTATATTTTTAAACTGTATATATAATTGTTTTCATTGATACAGAAAAGTCTAATTAGGCTTGATCTAGTAGAGAAATAATTGTCTCCCCAACATGAGTGTAGTGACCACTGGGGCCTTGGGGTTCCCATTTTTGGAAGAGGATAAAACTGTTTTCCATGATATCAGAATAGCAGAGTAGTTGCATTTTGCTGGATAAGAGCATGAAAGTTTTATTGATTATAACTTTCACAATGCCTAAAAGTGGTTCTGGCAGACAGAATGAATTGGTACAGAACATTATTTTCACCCTTATTCAAGTTTTCCTACACTGACTGCAGAAAATTATAAGCTAAAACTATAGTTTTTAAGCTCCCCTCCATATAGGTCCTAGATAGGGTGTAGGATCTGCCATCAGACATATTTGGGTAACATCTGGAAGGCAGAAGTAAGATGAGCAACCATGTATTTGCTGTTTCTACCTTTTGTCCAAGAAGTATCTGGTTTTTCTGAAACAAGTTTGTAATCTTCTTCGTATCTTGTTTATGGCAGATTTCATTATTTTAGTGCCCCCCCCCCGAGAATATGATAGTTTTTTATTGTAAGCATTGAAAAAATTTTTGCTGCCTTCCTATCAATGTAGAGTGGTGAGAATTTGAAGGGAATAACAGTGCAAACAACTTTCAGACTAGAAAATGTTAAGCTGAGAAAAGATGAATAAGTACAAGGAAGTCCCCCCAAAATCATAATTCATAATTTGGAATTAATTGAAGTATTATGCCTTCCTTCCCAGCATTCATGTAACACTGACAAAATAAAATTGTACATATGCTAACATATAGACATTATGAAATGTAAAAGCAGTGCATATAACATCCTCCAATCACAATTTAATACAATTTTACTAACAACATGCGGAAATAAATGGTTTGGGCTGATATAACAGAAAAACCATAGACTGGGTGGCTTAACCAATAGAAATTTATTTCTCAAAGCTCTTGAGGCTAGGAAGTCCAAGATCAAAATGCCAGCATATCCAATGTCTAGTGAGGGCCCAACTTCTTGGATTGCAGATGGCCTTTTCATTGTTTCCTCACATGGGTGAAGAACAGAGAGAGTGAGGGCAAACTCTCACACCTCTTCTTATAAGAGCACTAATTCCCATTCATGAGGACTCACCTTCATGACCTAGCTGCTTCCCAAAAGCCCTACCTCCTAATACCACCACGATGGGGGTTAGGATTTTAACAAGTGAATTTGGAGGGAGACAAACATTCAGTTCATAAAATACCCTTATGGCTTAAAAAAAACTAAAAATCATATTAAGTAAAAATCAAATTATCTTTAGAATATGGTACATTCTAAATATAAAATATTGATTGTTTTATATTATATTATAATAAATCTATGGGATATATATTATAATAAATATATATTATATTATAATAAATTTATGGGATAAAAATAAAGCATTGCTCAAAGAAATGCTCAGAGTCTTAATAGCTTTAAGAAAATAGGATAATAAGCAAACTCTACATTCTACTCACAAAGTTAAAAAATATACTCAAAATACCCATAAAAAAAATAATGAGGATTTTAGGTAGAATGTGCACAAGAGATATTTGCACAAAATGGGAAAAGACAATAGATGGAACATTATCTAAATAATTAATGAAAAATAATATCAATATACAAAAAAATGATAATAATCCTAAAAGTAAAATAATCACAGACATAGAGGTCATACAACTACTCAACTTTCTCCCTCTTTCTTTCTGTCTTATTTTTGTAACTAAGTTTATTTCATTTACATTTACTGAATTACAAGTGTTATGGTTTTAGTCCTGACTAAACAAATTTTAATTTTACATCTTTAGTTCTTTATGGTTATTTGGTTTATATCTAGTATATTACAGTCTGATTTTACTTTCCCTGTGTGTGTGCTGTGTCGTTGTGGGTGTCCTGCAGTTAAAGAAAATACATAATTATAATAAATTCAGTTGTAATAGTTATAATGTCATTTACACTCTATTATTTAGACTACCTATTGGATTCTCACTAAGCACAAGAACAAATTTAATATCGTTCTGATTGCTTCAAATTTATTTCCCACTCTATCCTCTACCACATAATTTAAATGCAATTGTTATTATTTGTTAATAATTTTTCTATTGTTAATTCAGATCTTTTGAGGAGCAGCTGCTTAAATGGGATAAATATGCAAGAATCAGAGGGGAAAAACTTTGAAGAATAGAGAGGAGGCAGCAAGATAAAAGTGGGGGTGAACAGAGCCGTTAGATCACAAGTCATGTCTAATTCCTGTGAATGAGAGAAGGAAGATGTGGCAAGAAATGTCTTAGAATGCAGAGGAGCTCTAATGAAGTTTCAGTCAGAGCAAGGGGAAATTTTGGGACAGTCACTCCTTAAGGGAGTCCCACATTTTGCAGGAAAAGGGCCTGCACTGTTACTCTACAGTGCTCAGGTATTTGCTGGAAAATCCTGCAGGAAGCATGAACTTGGCATGGATGTAGGATACAGAGCAACCACAGCTAAGGTCATCAGCTGCTTCCCATAGCAGGAGAACTGACTGGCCTCTTTTCTTGGCCACTACATGCTCAAATAAATACACTTAAACCTTTATCTTAGTAATATCTAAACTTTAAATTATATTTGTTGACCAACAATGTGATTATAAAAGATATGCTACCTTCTACTTATTAAAATTTAGTTATTTTATGTTGTGATTTTTGTTTGTATTTTTAATTCAGTCTTGAGATCTCTCTGGAAATGTGGCCATAAGCCAGGATAGCCACTCTCTAGGAGAGCTCTGACCAGAGGAAAGTGAGGTTCAGGTGCATGTGTCAGATGAGACACAATGAGGAGGTGAAAGCAAAATACATGAAACAAGAAATTTATTACTCACAGGTACCAGAGAGGTTATGGGAAGTCCAGAAGTGACAGGGAGCTCAGCCAGTGGGTGGGGAGTGAGAAAAAGAGAGGGCCTGTGGGATGATGCCGTTATCAAGGTTTGTAGGTATTATCCTTTAGGCTTTGTATCTGAGGCTGTGGATTGGCTAGCTTAAAGAAAACCACAAGAAGAGGGGACTCATTTAAATCACTCTGGTGTGGACCATTAGGTTTCATCATGGTCAGCAGCTGAAAGGTGTGTTGGGTTTGGGGGTCAGTGGAGTGAAAAACAAACATAGACAGTGCCATAAACAATCACATAGGAAGTTTTAATGAGGCCAAAGATGATGGGATATAAATGATGGGTTTGAAACAACTTATGTAAGGCCTAAAAATGGATACTAAGGCAGCAACCACGTTAAAAAAATGTGTGACATATTGCTCGTAAGTTTTCATTTTTCATTCTACTTTTACAAATTTTAACCACTTGGTCCTATGGCTAAATAAATTGAATGTTCATGCTCATGTATGTGTCATAGTCGTAGTGTCATGTTTCATGTCTTGTTGCTTACAGTTCATCCTCTCTCTTCCAAAAAGTCTTATGAGATTCTGCCTTACTGTGAATAAAAATGCCATTTTTATATATAATAAAATTAAAATTTTGCTGCTTCTAAAATTGTTTTGTCAGAAATTATTTCCCAGGCTAATCTGTAGCCAGTCATTTGCTGTCTTTTAGAATAGAGTTTTACTGTGGTCAATCTTGAGGTCAAACTATTTTTGTTCTTTTTATTAACAAGTGACTGGTCAGTATTTCTAAAAGTTTCTATATTTTCAAAATCTAGGAACTTTGTTAGGATTTATATTAGTTTAGCCGTCTAAATCTAATTTTTATTAGGAAACAATCTGCCCCTTATATTTTTAGTTTCAAAGCTAATAATATTTGTGAAAATAAATTCTTTACATATTTGAACACTTCTATCTCAGTTATTTAGATCTCTTATTCAGGGATGCTGACTTTCTGTAAATTGATTCCTTTTTGTGTCTCTTCCAAACCATTTTATCTTTGTTTATCTATCTTTTTATATTTTTTATTTTTCTCATATTTGTGCCTTTTGTTTATTCTTGTGTTTTCAGTAGTATATTCTCCTTTGTGTAATTTTCAAAGTGGCTTTAATTTCTGTGATGATTTTGTTTTTCTTCATTTTCCTGAGCTATGCCAGCTCATTTCAACCCGTCTGTTGTTTCACTGATATTTCCTGATTACTAATTTAAGCTTTTCTTTAAAAAAAAATAGCAAGTGAATCATTAGATTTTGTTTTAATTCAGAAATATATTTGTTCATATTTTTCATCTGCTTCATGACAGTATTATCCTATTCAATAGTTTTTGTTTGCCATTTGTTTTTTATTCTTTTACTTTTGTGTTCTTCTTTTAAGAAAAAAGCATAGGTCGTATGCTGGCTTCTTTTAGAAAATACTCTCATTTTTGAGAGAGATAAGTTCTTTTGGAGACCACTGTTTATAAGAGGTTTGCATGAAAGAAGCACAATAGTAGTGCTGAGTATTCCCAGGAATCCTTGAGAGTTCCCAGGGAATTGCAGGGAAAACCATTGTGTGTGGATGTGTCCTTCAGACTGTTTCTTCCCAGAAAACAGAAGTCACCTCTGCAGTGCTGCCTTCAGTTCATCTGTTCTTCTCCACACTGCTTTTCTAACAGTAGACATTCTAAAATAATGACATGTCTGTTTCCCCATGTACCCTGCCTCCTCTCCTTTTTCTATTACCGGAAACACCCCAGGGTAATGCCTACCAACAATATCTTTGGACGCTTCTATTTCTGATTAAGAGTTTGCATCTGCCGAGCTGCACACTGCTGCTTTGTCTAAACACAGCACCAATGGTGTCCCCTCCTGGTATCTTGCCACACTCTTGTCACATTTTCACACACTTGGCAGCTTTTCCTTACATATGCTGTTTTGTGGTTGCAGATGTCTCCTGCACTACTGTGTTCTATTTCTTGTTTTACTTACTAAGTTTGAATGAGTCCTGAGTGGAGAAGAGGACAGAAACATAGGTGCTTTACCACCTTACCACCATCATTTTACTGATGACAGTCTTTCCTCTTTGATGACTGAAATTGGAACTTCTCAGACTAGTCTACAATATGACATTTGAGTTAGCAAAACTGCAAACAAAAGTCATTTTTTCTTGTATTTTATGATGACATTCAGACACATTTTGTCCAATTCCGAAATATATGCTTGTATTCATATATACTCTATCAAATTACTTATTAGAAATTGTTATTTCAAAGCAAAAATTTTTGTTTGGCTTGTGACATTACTCTTCCTTCTCAAAATTGTCACCTATCCCAAGATAACGTAGTTTGAAGAAATTGAAACTGCATGGAAGCATCCTTATCTCATATATTAGTGTATTTCTCCAGTAAAACAGTTAATACCGAAAAATTTACTGTAAACAGCTAATCTTGTACCAGGACATCAACAGTGGAAGAGCTGAAGGATTAGTATCGCTAACACGGCATGAGGATAGTTTCAGCAAAGTACTCAGAATCATACCTCTTTAGTATAGATAGAAATTATTATGGAACTCTAGAGAAGAAACCCACCCACCCACACACACACACACACGTGCATAGTGCCACAGCTAGAAAGTCCTAGAGCAAAATTTATATGTTTTGTCTTTCTATGTCCTTTTAGTAAGCTGAATTTCCTTCAGCCTTTACTCCAGGAGATTTTCTGTTTGCCACATCACTGTTGACCCATGTAAAAGTTATCTGAAACCATTATATTTCTTAAGATTACATCCAGGTAATTCACGGGTAACTTTGATAGGTTCATTTTGGGGGTTTATAAGTTTTTCCAATGCTTTTTACCTGTTTCAACTGGTAAAAAGAAAATTTTAAGTTTTTTTCTAAATTGAGAATATTCTTATTAGAATTATTTAGGTATTGCCATTTTTTATTTGTAGAATATAACTTGATACCTTTTTTCCACTTTTCCCTTTCTGCATTTTATTTTTAAGGATACTTTTTAAACTCTTTGAATCAATTGTATTTTCCTATATTTGTCTGATTTTCAATTTTGTGTTTATTAAAACAACATAATATTCTTGTATACTTCCTAATCTCAGTGGAAATCAGCTCTTAGCAACATCTCTTAGCAATATAAAAAGAAATGACAGGGAGGGAAAGGAAGACAGGAGACAGGTTTGTGGATGACATATTTTATCACAGCTTCTCTAACTAAATAAAAGTGTATATATTTCTCAGCAAATACATGTTAAATATCCATTTTTAAGACACCAGTCTAGGGGACTGCAATGGACAAATGTTTATGATAAGTCTCTATCATCAAGACGTAATTGAAAAGTTGACATAATATAAGTATTATCCAGGCTAATTAGTAGCATTATATACACTGTGATGTAGTTCATATTTATTCTATGACAGTAACCAGTGTGTGTGACCAAGTTTATTAAAAATGCTTTAGAATTGTTCCCACGGTATTACTGTATATAATAACAATGCCTCTTTTTCCACTTTAACTATCTTTACCTTTCTCAGAACCCAAGATATAATATTTTAATAGTCCCAGATTATTTTTGACACCACCTCTCCACATCTAACGTCTTCCTTCTATTACAGAGCCGTGCTCAAGAGTGCTAGACTAGATTCTACCAAGTAGAAGCTCTTACCTGAGATCTGGAAGAAAGAATGAAAACATTACCCATTCTTTTATCAGAACTGAACAAATTAGATGTTCCTAGGCGAACATAGTACTTCGCAAAGATCTTTCAGCCTTTTTCTAGAAATCGCTTACCTGAGTACAGAAGGCAGGAGGGATTGTTGCCAGCAGTTTCCCAAATTGCTAGTAGTTTCTGTAAGTTTCGGATTTTCTAAAAGTTAGCAGCAGATCTGAGAGCTAGAAGCAGCTCTCACAGACCTTCAGGCTTAAGTCTGTCCCACGGTTTTGTAGCTATCTAATAATAATAAATGTTTTACTTACTGAAATATTTTTGTAACTTCTCTTTTATTAACTGAACTCTGGCTGATAGACTAACTAGAGTTCCATTATAACTATCTATTTATTTGCTACCCAATGGAAAATTTGTATGAAATATTTCTGATGCAGTATCTTGACATAATGACATGATAATTGATCTCTCCACTTGTTTAAATTAAGAATTTCCAATAGCTTATATTATACCGAGATGAGTTTTTTAAATCCCTCATTTTTTATAGATTTTCTATGAATTGGAGGAAAATTTTATTTAAAAGCACATGCAGCCAGTAAACTAGTGGTAATAGGCAGAACAGTATAATATTAAATGACCTGAGTCAGACAAACTCAGTTGCTTATGTGTGTGTGCATGCATGTGTGCACAAATTATGAGTAATTGCTCACCAAACCCCTCTATATCCAATGTCTCTTACACCCACTTCTATGAGGAAAGGGAGGGTAAGCCAGCATGATATACCTCAAAGTACTTATTTTCCTAGCTGAGTTAGAAACAAGTATATTTCTCTGACTATTTTAGTTGTTCACTGTAAAAATTATTAACAACTTCAAAACTATCCATTTTATAGTCTTAAATTCACCTGCATCCTTTCTTGGATCTTGCATAAAGTTGTGACCCTAAACAGGAGCTAGATCTCTCCACAATCCCATTTCCACCTACACAATTCACGTCCTCCCTGAACAATACAGACTTTTGTGGTACAAACACCCCATCTCCCATTTCTGTGAACTCTGCTAGTACTTATAATCATTAACAGTGATCCTTTATTTAACAGCCAATGTTGAACAATATATAAATAATATTTTTGAATAAGAGCACTTACTGTTATCTATGATAGCTGTTAGAAAATATTTTTCATCTGAGCATATTTGGTTTTTGTTCCATGTGACAAATGAAATAATCATTTTTTTTTAATTTTCCCATTTTATTTTTTTATCATTTAAATCTGTATACTAGAGACTTTTGGAGCAATAACAGTGACAGACTCTCTTTGACCCAACATTTGTGAGGCTCCTCTGCACTTTTTTCTCTACTGGGCCTTCACCTTGACTCCTATCCTTGCTAGTCCTGCATAGCTTCGTTTTAGAAAGATTCCTATTTTAGTTAATTTAGAGAAAACCTGCCACTCTTGATATGTGATTATTCTCAATATTTGGTCAAATTCCTCATCCCACACCCTGGTTATCTGATCACCCTGCCCTGTCTTTAGCAAGGATCCCCCTACCCTTGGTGTCTTTTCTTAGTAATTTTCCATCCACTGACCCCTTCACTCTTCTCATTGGCTATAAATCTCCACCTGTTTTTACTGTATTCAGAATTGAGCCTGATCTCTTTCACCTGTTGTGTTAGTCTTGACACCCATCAGAATAATCCTGAATAAAGTCTTTCTTCCTATTTTAACAAATGTCAGAATAATTTTTTCTTTAGCAATAGCTTTGTTGTAAAAGCATCAAGTAATATGTCAATTAGCATATGTACTATGTATGCTTTTTCCTGTCATCAGAAAATTTGATATGCAGTCCATCAATGTCCTTTTTCAAGCTATCAATAACAACATGTGGTGAAATATATTATTAATATATGATAATACACTATTATTAACAGAACTCAACTTATGTCTTTCTTACTGACATTGATCTATTTTTAGTACTTATTAAGTAGAGTTAAATCACTAGTTAGTTAAACTAATCCTATAGCCTCTCCTCTTTCCTTATTTATAACTCCTTTCCCTGGCAGTGAGAAATCTGGCCCGCATCATCCACAATATATTTACCTATTGGCATAATGTAGTTTGATATTTGCTTGCTCATATTCCCATAAAAAATGCTAACTAGATTATAAAACTTGTGTACAGGTTTGTTTTTCTTTTTGTCTTTAGCCTTACAATATGAAAATCTAGATACTGTTTACCAAAGTCATTTAAGTTAGTCCTTTTGTTCTCCATTTCTCTCAGAATGGTTATGTAATTTGTTTGTGATACAGTTAGGCTTAATTTTACTTTTTGCATTCTACATTCATTTCTCTCCACATCTCAATTTATGTGACAATTTTGGGGGAGGTGTGAGAGGGTATGTGAAAAATTATCATAGTTCTAAGAGTCAAAACCATATCAATAAAAAGTTAAACCAAAAGAAGTTTTACTCACATTTATCCCTACTACCCTGTTCACATTTCCTAGTTTTTTTATTTTTATTTTATTTACTTTATGTATTTATTTATTTTGACAAGGTCTCTCTCCGTCACCCAGATGGCATGCAATGGTGCCATCATCGCTCACTGCAGCCTTGAAATCCTGGGCTCAAGGGATCCTCCCTCCTTAGCCTTCTGAGTACCTGGGATTTCAGGTGTGCACCATCACACCCAGCTAATTATTTTATTTGTTGTTGAGATGGGGGTCTCTTCATGTTACCTACTCTGGTCTCAAACTCCTGGCCTCAAGCAATCCTTCCACCTCAGCCTCCCAAAGTGCTGGGATTACAGATATGAGCCACCACCTTTGGCCTCACATTTCCTGATTCTTTCAACCCACCTCCCACCCACAAATGTAAATGAAAGTCGTTGCCATTATTTTATGACCTATTATTTTTGGAACAATTTTTTTTTCTTTGAGATAGAGTCTCACTCTGTCACCCAGGCTGGAGTGCAATGGCACAATCTCGGCTCACTACAACCTCCGCCTCCCAGTTTCAAGTGATTCTCCTGCCTCAACCTCCTGAGTAGCTGGGATTACAGGCGCTCACTACCACGCCCAGTTAATTTTTGTATTTTTAGTAGAGACGGGGTTTCGTCATGTTGGTCAGGCTGGTCTCAAACTCCTGACCTTGCGATCTGCCCACCTCGGCTTCCCAAAGTGCTAGGATTACAGGCGTGAGCCACCGCACCTGGCCTATTTTTGGAACAATTTTTAAAACATATATGTTTATAATTCACATGGTAAGGAGAAATGAAGTGAAATGAAGGGAGAACTGGAAGCTTTCATACATTTTTAAGGGCATATACAAATTTGTAAAAATATGTCAAAGCAAATCTGTCAATATATATATCAAAAGTCATAACAGACAGCCCCCTCTTCTGGTCTTTATAGGTGTTCAGCAGGGATAGGCCTTCTCTAGTTAGTATAGCCTTGGATTTTGGAAGGGCTGCCTGATGATGACTCAGGGCAGGCAGAGCTTGTTGTGGATTTTTCTGGTTGCCTTTTTTCTAATGTTGGGTGGGTTTGCTCTCTGGGCCCCTTCCTGCTGAGGCCACTGGCTGGGCTCTGCCACCAGGCGGAGCTCCTGGCTGGGTACTGTGATGGTTTGTGGTCAGGTGGGTCAAAAGATGTGTTTTCTGGCTGAGCAGTTCTGCGATTTGAGATCTGCAGTTAGGTGGGCTGCAGGCGGGACCCCGAAGTTAGGCAGAGTCAGTGCTAAGGACGGAAGGGCCAGATGCTATGCTCTTTAGAAATGCACGATTGAGCATTGCCTCCCTGTAAGGGAGGAGTCGTGGGGTGGGCTTTTGACTGAGTTCATTGGCTGTTTAACCTCCCTGGTGAAGCAGGTCTAGCCTCAGCGTCTCTCTGAATGCCTTGGCAAGTGGACATTTTGGCTGAGTGGAGCTGCTGCTTGAATTCCCCAGTCAGTCAGGTCTAGCTCCTGTGCTTCACCAAAATGGGCAGAGGCGGACATCACCCTCCCTAAGCGGGGTTTGTGGGGTGGACTCCGAGGCTGGGCGTGCAGACTAGTCATCTAGGGACTCAAGTGGGTTGAACTTCCCACCGTGCTTCTGAAGGCGACCGGTCCAACTTTGGGGATGGGCTGGGAAGTTGGCTGATATCTCCAGTCGGGTGGTACAGCTGGCAGGAGTATGGAGGTGCCACCAAGTTCCGCAGGCTGGGGAATATGACTTCTGCCTCCCTTCTTCGTTTTTACCTGACCCTAGGCAATGGAGCAGTGCCCTTACCCGCAGTGTTTCTCTGATTTGAGACTGGAGGGGTCTTCCTGGGAAGCGTTTCAAAATGCTAGGGAAGCTGAGTGACTGCTTCCACTTCTCTCTTCCCCTGTGGAAACCGTAGGTCCAGGGAAATCCTCTCCTGGGGTGGTGCCAACTTGGGGAGCGGCAGGGGCAGCGTGGTCAGTGTGATACCGTTCTTACTCTTACTCTTCTAATTTGGTTTTCATTCATTTCTGCAGGCCATGCAGGTGTCTCAGGCTTGTTTCAAAGTATTTCAAATAGATATTCTGGTCTGTGGATAGTTGCTAGATGAACTTTCTGTGAGGAGGGAAGTGGAGCTTGAGACTTCCTGTTTCACTATCTTGCTCAATGACATAAATTTTTTTGAAATTATGATTTCTATAATATTAATTTATTCAATCAAAAAGAGGAGCTCCATTACAGTTTTACTACTATTTAAAAAGTGACATAATTCTAAAAAGCAATCATAGATTTTAAAACATGTAAAAAGCCTTTGTATTTCACAGTGTGTATTAATGCAGCACATATACACAGACAGACCAATCCCAAATAGACCCAACTTTTTATGTGAATGTAGTATACGATAAAGATAACATGGCAATTGGCAGGGGAAAAAAATGGACTTTTAAGCAAATGTAACTAGGAGCATTGGACAATGTATTAATTAGCATTTTCTGTTAACAAACCAGCTCCAAACTTATTTTAAAATGTGGTGGTTTAATTGAAAAATTTATTATTACTCCAAAGCCCAAGTTTCAAGTGGAAAGCTTTATTGATCAATTAAAGTCAGATAAGAAAGATCATGGGTCTGAAGTCATTAGTGGGTCATTAGAAAATCATGGGAGGAAATGGCCCCAGTCTCATATCTGACAGAGTGTGGAAAACTCGTAACTATGACTCAAAATCCATAAACAATAAAAAAGAGTGACAAACTTGACTGTATGGTTGAAACACAGAAATAAATAAAATGTTTGAAAATCCAACTTTTCACAAGCAACATCAAAAGGTAAATTGAAAACTGGGGAAATATTTATACATATTGTATAGATAAAGTGCTATCACTTAATATGTCTATAAGGTTTTATTAAAAAACAGGAAGATAAAACCAACAATGGAATAGAAAAATGAACAAAAGCTCTGACTAAACTGCTCACAGAAAAGAAAATACAAACAACATTTGCACTTATAAATTCTGCTTCACTTTACTCCTAAAGAAAATGCAAGTTAAAACTATACTCTGCTGCTATAACTCATATCTCGGATGCTTGGAAAAAATCCAAAACTTTGGAAACATACTCCATTCACAAAGCTGTAGGGAAAAGGAACTCTTACATATTGTTGTACTTTATTTAGTTAACTTTCTATTTATTTTGATCTGATGTCTTCAATTCTTTTTCTTTTATAAAGAATTTTATAATAAATAAGTTTATGGACAAATTATTAGTTATTTTTGCAGCGTTTCTTTGGGATAGATTCTTCCACGTGAGAATGCTGAGGCAAAGGTAAATATACACATAAATTGCTAAATACCGCTAATTCAACTTTGTAGGGTTTATACCATTTTATATTGCTACCAGCAATGTATTTAAATTGTACACTTTATATTTTTATTCAAAAATTTAAAGGGGAGGAGCGCACTGCAACATTAACAAGAAATAGAAACAAAAATGAACTACATACTAAACTGTACCACATCACACAGAAAAATAAAATTGTGCCTAGTGATTTTGAACACAGAACTTCTAAATAAATACCTTACAAGGAGAAAAGAATTGTAAAAACTTAATCTTTACTCAATTTTTAATATTTTTTTCCTTCTTTTGAGATGAAGGCTCATTTTGTTGCCCAAGCTGGAGTTCAGTGGTGCGATCTCGGCTCACCGCAACCTCCAGCTCCTGGGTTCAAGCAATTTTTCTGCCTCAGCCTCCCAGGTAGGTGGGATGACAGGTAAGCACCACCATGCTGGGCTAATTTGTGTATTTTTACTAGAGACGGAGTTTCACTGTGTTAGCCAGGCTGGTCTTGAACTCCTGACCTTGTGATCCACCTGTCTCAGACTCCCAAAGTGCTGGGATTACAGGCATGAGCCAGGACGTATAATAATATTTGGTCGGGTGTGGTGGCTGATGCCTGTGGGAGCCGAGGTGGGCGAATCACCTGAGGTCAGGAGTTTGAGACCAGCCTGACCAACATGGAGAAATCCCATCTCTACTAAAAGTACAAAATTAGCCAGATGTGTGGTGGTGCATGCCTGTAATCCCAGCTACTCGGGAGGCTGAGGAAGGAGAATCACTTCAACCTGGATGGTGGAGGTTGCGGTGAGCCGAGATCACACCACTGCACTCCAGCCTGGAGACAGAGTAAAACTGTGTCTCAAAAAAAAAAAAGTAATATTTGTATTATGCTTTTTATGTGACTTGATACAGCTGGAAAAAAAGCAAATAAGTGAATCTGTTTATATTGATAAGAATCAAGATTTTCAACACAGGGGAGATGAGATATAAATATGCGACATTAATTTGAAAAAACTCAAAGTCTTCATTTGGATTGGAATTGTTGCTAAATCTCAAGGATGATAAAATTATTAATTTCTTAGTTTAAAGCAAGCTAAACGTCCAACTTATATTTCATAGTTAAGTCTCTTCTAAAAACTCCTCAGAAATTGATTTCTTGCCTCTTTTTGAATTACATCAGTGCCAAGGAAATCATTGTATCATAGATTTGGTATTAGTTCTGTGACTAAGTCCTTACTCCATCTTTCCTAGATATGACTTAGAGAATTAACTTAATCTCTCTAATTCCCTGTTGTATAAAATGGAGATAATGAAAAAAAAAATCTGCCTGACAGGACTGATTCCTGAAGGGATTGACCAGGCTGTGGAAACAATGATTTCTTACCAGCAAGCTCTTCATGACGTTGTCCAGACAAAAATCCTCCCATAAGAATCAAATTTATAAGTAGTATTGTGATTTGAGGGTATTCTGGCACATCATCCATTTAGAAAACATCGACACCCTCAGGAGTAAGAGACTATGTTTCATTAACATTTGCACAGCATGCATAGTGCCTGCCACCAAGCTCTTTCTAGATACAAAAAAGGACATGTGAACATGGTTTGTAAACTGCAAAGCACCATGTAAAGTTGGTTGTTAGTAATATTAATGTGAGCCATTTCGATTTTGTATAGTTGTAATTGCTGTAACTCTTCCTTGGTTTGACCTGAAATCTACCTCCCTGTCATTTCTACTTGTTATTCTTTGTTCTCCCTTCTGGGGTCTACTGAAAGATTAATCCCTCTCATTAAAAGGAAGAAAAATTAGGTTTTCTCAGTTAGAATAATAGAAACAGCGAGCATTTAGTCCTGGCTTTGATATGAATTATTTTATTAAATAAATCAACTTGTACCCCTTACCCACATGCATACAAGAGCAGCCTTACTTACTCTTCTTTTCTTTTACTTGTCCTATGTTTTATCATGAACTGAACTGTCTACTGAAGAGTGACTATGATTCTAGTTGCTCAGTTACCCCAAGACTTTTCATTCCTGTAACTCTGTTACGTGGTTTATTTTGCTGGAACTATTTTCCTACACCTCCCTGTACTTTCTCTTACCTTAGCCCGATCTGATTGAATTGGCTAATATTTACCTAATGAGTTGGAAAATTGATGTTCTAACTAAAAAAATTAATCAAATTTAACAAAGCAATCAATTATATGTATATATATGTACATATATATTTTTGGCTACATTATTATAAAGATATGCTTGTGTGTTTGTGTATGCATTTATGTGTGTATAACTACATATATTAGGTCAGGGGAACACATACAGCTTATATTAAAGTCATTTGAATCAAGAGCATATTATAATTATACTAAATAAACATATTCATATCATCCTAAAGAGAGTTTAATGTTAAGTATATGTATATTTGTGATAGAAAATAAAAAAATTAAGTTACTCTTTGATTTAAGTAGAAAAAAGAGGCTTCTTTACTTGTTTTCAGTATTTCAAAGATAACTTTATGGAAAAGATTAACAGAGTACCTAATGTAGAAAAATAATTAGCCACAAATCCAAATTAACTCATCCAATGTAAATTGTAATATGAAATAATTATTTTCTTGGGTAAATAATTATTTTAAATCTTTTCAGTTTCAAGCCCTTGTGAGGAGTACATATGCAGAAGGAAAAAAAGTAATAAAATATAATTCTGACTCTCTAGGAATTCATGTTTTCTTTTTTTTTTTTTTTGAGATGGAGTCTTGCTCTGTCGCCCAGGCTGGAGTGCAGTGGCACAATCTCGGCTCACTGCATGCTCTGCCTCCCGGGTTCATGCCATTCTCCTGCCTCAGCCTCCCGAGTAGCTGAGACTACAGGTGCCTGCCACCACGCCCGGCTAATTTTTTGTATTTTTAGTAGAGACGGGGTTTCACCATGTTAGCCGGATGGTCTCGATCTCCTGACCTCGTGATCCGCCCGCCTCGGCCTCCCAAAGTGCTGGGATTACAGGCGTGAGCCACCGCGCCTGGCCCATGTTTTCAAATTACTCCAACAGTGTGTCATGAATAAGGTACTATGGGGTCCAGAGTGAGAATGTCCAACTCTGGCTGGGGAAGTTAAGGATGTCTTTACAGAAAATAGGTCACGAGAACTCATCATAAAAGAATGAATAGTGGTTTGTAAGATAGAGAAAAAGAGGTAGGTTGACCTCATCCAAAAAAACAAATCATATGATCAAAGGCAGAGACATCATGGGTGACACAAATGTCTTTGGAGACACTACAAAAAGTTGGAGTCACTGGAGCCAGATAGTGTGTGAAGAAGAAAGGATCCAGATACAACTAAAAATCACAGAAAAATGGATACCATAAAAGCAAAACAAAACAAAACAAACCAGGAATTCATTTTCACCTGGGATAAAAAATGATTGCAACTTAATGTTGAGTTGCATATTCATGATATGCTAAAATAAGACAATGCTGTTATATAATATGAAGTTCTAGGAGAACGCCGGAACAAATTTGAGAACACATCATTTTTTAAATAAAATGTTTAAAAATTGCATTATATTTGAATGAATGTATTATATATTACCTCTAATATCTACTTATCTGATTAACTGAGTATCTTCAATGTATTTACATTTTTACATTGATCACTAATTCCCAGGAGCTGTGGTCAGATGTGTAACCAGCTACTTCTTGAGCAATAGAATAGCAAAGTGATTAAATAGCTTTCTTAGATGTACATTTCTATTGTCCTCTGATACATAGCTTTTTTAATTTTAAAATGTTAGACAGAAGGCTGCAAGTAGGAAATACTTTGCTTGGAGAATGACATTCACAAGTAAGATGCTGCAGTCTTTTGTGTAAACTTCAGTGGGATTCAGTAGGTACTTGGTCTGAAGTGGCCAGGAATAAGATATAAATATCCTTGTTTTTGTTTCTCAAACAACAAACTACACTGGCAGAGACACTTCTCATGAGTCCAGAGATCAATGAGTATTAGGGGATACTGCTGGAAAATGAACAGGTTACCAGTTCTTTGGGACATGACTTCAAATCCTTACCCAGTCTCAAACTTTATAATTCATAAAAAATGCCTTTCCCTAAGAACAGGCTTGTCTCGTGCTTCCTTTTCTAAGACTTCATGGTAATTTTGTTTTGCTTTTTGAAAGAGAGTTTCTGTTTGTAGTAGATGGATGGGAACTAGAGTAGGGTACTAAAAAGAATATATATATATATGGAGAGAGAGAGAGAGAGAGAGAGAGAGAGAGAGGAGCTTATTAGGAGTATTGACTCACACTATCACAAGGTGAAGTCCCACACTAGACCATCTGCAAACTGAGGAGCCAGGAAGCCAGTCCAAGTCCCAAAACCTCAAAAGTAGAGAAGGCAACAGTGCAGCCTTCCATCTGTGGCCAAAAGCCCAAGAGTCCCTGGCAAATCACTGGTTTAAGTCCAAAAGTCCAAAAGCTGAAGAACGTAGAATCTGATGGTTGAGGGCAGGAAGCATCCAGCACGTGGGAAAGATGAAGGCTGGAAGACTCAGGGTCTGTTTATCCCACTTTCTTCTACCTGCTTTATTCTAGCCATGCTGGCAGCTGATTAGATGGTATTCACCCAGATTGAGGATGGGTCTGCCTCTCCCAGTCCACTAACTGAAATGTTAATTTCCTTTGGCAACACCTCACAGACACACTCGGGTACAATACTGTTCACCCTTCAATCCAATCAAGTTGACACTCAATATTAACCATCAAAACAACTTTAGCAGCAATTATTATTGCATACCAAATATCCATGTTCTTCTATTTGTTTTTCAGTCCTTTTGCCTCTAGATTATGTCACAAAATTAGTTATCTCAATCAAATATGAGAAGTGATGTGTCATTTCCTGTCTGAGGACATTAAGAATGTATTTAATATTGGCTCATCCTCATTCTTTTTTTCGTGTGTGTGTGGAAACAAGTACTGCATGAGGGTGAAGCTTTAAGATGTGAGTTAGCATGCATTCTTGCATCTACTTTCAGCAGCTTGTATAAGAAAACCCCAACCTGCATCTTAGTGTGATGCGAGTGAGACATAAAACTTTGTTTTGTTTAATCCCTGAGATTGTTGCTGCAGTATAGTTTATACTTACTAATATACCCAAAAGAAAATAATTCCAAAATGTCGAAAAAAATGCATTCTTGTATGTAACCTCTTGATTCTTCCATTATGAATTCCACCCACAAGAATTCATTCATTTGCTCATTTTGCAGGGCATGAACTGAGCTGAGGCTTATCAAGTTCCTTCTATGAGTCAGTACGCACAATTAATGGTGTGATCAAGGAGCCTTATTTATTTAGAACTCTAGAAATAATTTTGAGAAATAAAATATCTGTTTAAGAAATCATTTGTGAATATTACGATAAGGAAATGCACATGTCTTATTACCATACTAAAACTCTATTAAATCAATGTATGTATAGGATAAAGATTTGAGATAAATAAGAGTTAAAAAGCCTTCAAGCCGTTAGGAACCAAGTGAAAATTTTTAAAAAGTGTCACATACTCAATAGATGTCCACAAATCTCTCTCTATCTGTATGCCACTGGCAGTATAATTAGGTCATTATAGATACCAATTTTAAAGTCAAACGAAACTAATTTTGAATTTTGACCCTATTACTTATTGCTGGAAGACCCTGAGTAAAGTTCTTAATTTACCTAGCTAACCCTGCTTACTTTAATTTAATGGGTTCACAATAGCTTAATTTAATTTCTAGGGTTAGTGTGAGGATTCATGAGGTGATGTCCGGAAAGTGATTAGGACAGTGCCTGCATATTTAAAATGCAGAATAAATGATATTAGTAATGTTGTCATATTATTATTATGTCTTTTTGAAATAGCCTTATATATCTCTTTTTATGTGAATCATGAAGGTTGGAAGACAAAACAATTTACTTTTAATGTTGAATTTCTACATAGTATGTTTTTAGTATAGAAAAGTATTTATGATGTAGGATTTTTCTTCTTGGTCACTTTGCAATCCAGGGATCCCCAGCCAGCAACACCCTGCCCGGCCCATTCTCAGCCATGCTGGTGTGCCCCAGCTGGCCTGTGTTGTAGTGAGTACCTGCATTCATCAGTTGCCAGGCTCTTGTATTGCTCCCAAGAACAATGAGTACACACTGGACATTGAATGAGGAGGAGGGCAGAGAAGAAATTTCAGTGACAGAACAGCTCTCAGTGCAGGGGGGATTTTGGGGTGGGTCCCCACCCCCACAGTTGGGTAGTTCTCTTCTCTTATTGACTGAGTCTGGGGTCTTTATAGGCACAGGATGGGGGGAGTGCATGCTGATTGGTTTGTGAGTATGCAAAAAAGGTTAAAGAGAAGACACCACTCAAAGTGAAGACACCACCTCATTAGAATAGGGATAAAGACTGATCTTAACTGCTTCCTGCTGACAGGGGGTACTGTTTTGGGAAAACCACAGTCAGATTTCCCTCAGAGACCTATCTAGGGGTCCCAGTAAAAGGCAGCCATTGTTTGAGGCTCCGGTTGCCTGACTGTTTGGAGTTTGATGGCTTGAAGGTGAGAAGAGACAAACCAGGTTATTAGAAGACATGTGTCCAAATGAAACAAAGGGGGTAAGGACAGCTTAAAACTCCCGAGGCTGCCAACACACCCAGATAACTGGTGGCTATAGTTATGCCTGCTAGGATTTGGGTGCATGGGGCTTGGTTTGGTTAGCTCCCTTGGACTTATTTTCCGAAAAAAACCTCTGGGTTATGGGCACCCTCTTTATTCCAGTCACCTGGTAGGTTTTGCAGGATAATTGCCCAGAACTAGAATATTGATCCAGATTTTTACATTACCTATCCCTTTTGTTTCTCTTGAACTGAAGGTGGAGATCACTGGTTAGTTCACAGGAATAAGCAGGGTTAGTCTAAAATGCAGGCAAAAACTTTGAAAGAACTAATGAGTGTAGAATTCAATGACAAGTGTATGATAAGTTTTGAAACATAATTTTTCTCTCTCCCGTCCTCATTTTTGTAAAAACAAATCATGATAGGACTGTGTTGTTTGCAAAGTAGACTTTAGCCTTACACATGGCCTGATAATTTGCATAAAGTGCAGCAAGAATAATCATCTTTCACATAGGCTTTTTAAATTGGCTTTAGTGGGACTCCGTTCAACAAGGAACCTCATAAAACTTTTTAAAGCTGAGCCCAGCTATGGGTTTGTACCCTCAAATACCTGTGAGTTAGGTAAATTCCTCTCTTCTTGAGGTCCCAATAACAAGGGCGTCCTGGGTCTGTTAGAAAGTGACATTTTTTACTCACCACAGGTTAGGAAACCTGTACAGGGACTGTGCAGACAAGGTATGTGGACAGTTTTCCCAAGGGGATTTTATTGGCTCTGCAAGTCAAGCTTGATTCCCTAAAGGAAAAGCAAACCATTCTAGTAAAAGCATTGGTAAAACAACCAGCATCTCCAATTGTTTCCTGTTGCAAAAGAAAACGGATTCTTATTGCACTGATGCAAATAACTATATGCCTAATTTGAAAATACTCACAAATAGTTTCCAGATTCTATAGAAACCAGGCAGACATAAACAAATATGCTCCACATTTTGTTACCTTACTCAATTGTAAAAAGCTGTAGATAGCTCAAAAGAAAAGTTTCATTGACTCTGAAAAACAAAACAAGGATCAGCAACATTTTAAGCAAAAACTTAAAAAGATTATTTCAGTTTTCTATTAGTTCAGTCCACTCTGTTAACTCCTGATCTTCTTGATATGCACGAACATTTCAGCCCTTCACGAGTCCTGTGTTTTCCTCTATACCAATGTCACACTCTCCAAAGTTATCACAAACCTGCATTTGAGAGCACCTGTCAAAGTCCCATAGCTGATTATAAACCATCTTGTGAAAAGGATCAAAACAAGACAACAATTGTCTGTCAGTGACAAAATGTCTTTGGGTCTTGCTCTGTCGCCCAGGCTGGAGTGCAGTGGCGCGATGTTGACTCACTGCAAGCTCCGCCTCCTGGGTTCATGCCCTTCTCCCGCCTCAGCCTCCCGAGTAGCTGGGACTACAGGCTCCCACCACTACACCTGGCTAATTTTTTGTATTTTTAGTAGCAACGGGGTTTCACCATGTTAGCCAGGATGGTCTCAGTCTCCTGACCTTGTGATCTGCCCACCTCGGCCTCCCAAAGTGCTGAGATTACAGGCATGAGCCACCACACCTGGCCTAAATCTATTTTCAGTAATCTCAGTAACATGTTATAATGGCAACATTTCACAGTTTTAAATTTTAATGTAATACCTGGTAAGTTATTTTAGTTATGTACTAGGTGCAGCTAACGTCTGACTCTTTCCAACGCAGTTATGGGCATGGTGAGTTCCATGTGACTTCAGGCCTTACCAAATTGTAAAGCAGGCAAGTTACACAGTTCTCGAAAGCCAAAGAAATAGTTTATAACATTTACCAGACCTGGTATTTGACCTGCATAATCTAGACCACATATTTACATTTTGAAGACATTTGCATTTTACCAGTAATCTTTCAAAATGCTTTTATTTTTCAGAGATTAAAGTCACATGCATTAAAAGGTATTCAAGCTTTTATTTTTCCTTCAAAAAATATTTGATCCAAGTGCTTATTTTTGGTTAGGCCAATTAGATAGAGCTCTTTTTAATAAACATCACATACATAACTCATATATGATTACACAGCCAGACAGAAGAAGATCCAGTAGTTGTAAGATTTTTCATTTGCCAATCTCCTAATTGGATTACTGGCCTCAGTCAGGGTGGAGCCCTTCAAGAAGGAAGGCTAGGAAAGCATGCAATTTCCAGGGCCTAACAAGCAGGCATAGATGGAAGACAAAAATGTATTTTGAGAGGGATCTATTCACTTTTAATTGCTGTTGTTCCATGAGGAAAACAGGTGTTGTCTTTTTTTTCCCTAAAATGGGTCCATGGTGCCCTCTCTGTTTTTCCCAGAGTCCCATGCTTTCAGAAGCTATATTAGGGCCTCTCATGTGTGCACTAAGAGTGGCAAGACAAAATGGAGAAAAGTAATTCAGTCTACGGAGAAAAAAATCTTTTCCAGAGAAACAAGATCCAAGAAGAGAAAAATCCATGAACTCTTTTAATTATTCCTATAGCTTGGATATCCACTTTTAATTATGCTGACTTTTAGCCATGGTGCTCTTTAAGAAAATCCTTTTAAATTCTGTGTTACCTTACTTTAGTCATACTAAGCTGCCAATATTTCTGACTTTTGAACTTCACCAAAAGTAATCTCACAGGTGAAACCAACAAGCCTCAACTAAGGTTATGACTTAACTGCAAGTGTACAAGGTATTTTCAAAGAGGTGGTAAGCAGTTTTTACAAAGTCTACACTCTTTAAAGGTAGCTCAGAAAAAGGAAGATTTAAGAAAGGAAGCTAGAATTTGTTCATGGAGGGGAAGAGACTCAGCAAATGAAAAAAGTAACACAGATATTAACCAGAAAGTACTAATTTTCTAAGCTAGGAATGAATCTGAACTGCCATTGTAAAATGGCAGAGACCAAAGAAAATATTGCCCTGTTGTTACAGGGTCAAGCTTCAAGCATGTAATACAAGATGGAGTCCTGCGGCAAAGTTTGTTACTAACCAGTTTGCTGGTCTGGCTTGAACAGTGGGATTATGGGGTCCTTGACCCATGTGCTATCCTAAGATATTTTTCCTTATGACAGAACCATGCAGAAAGACACACAAAGCACAAAGTACAACAGATTCAACACAGCTTAAGACTAGCCTAACAAATCTTTTTTTTCCATTAATTAAAACTTTACAGAGGATATAAACAGTGATCTTTATCATTCCTTTTGCCAGTTCGCACAGGGAGAGAGAGACCACCAGTCTGACTAGTTAAAAACTTTTACCCTTTTGCTGACATGTCAGGCTTCTGGGTTCCCTTCCCATGAACTCAATTTAAAGCCAAGCCATTTAATGTTTGGGGAAATAAACTTTTCCCAGCTTGGGGATGCATCTGAGGGGAGTGTCAGGTGGTACAGCAATGCAATTACCCATGCACAAAGGGGACAGAGGAGCAAAAAGAGAAAAGAAGGGCTTTTTGTTGTGGTTGTTGTTTCTTCAATGGAGTCCCAGTGATTCACAAGGCATTCAAGAGAAGTAAAGATTGAAGATGATAGGTTACCCATCTGGAAAGATGTCAAAAAAGATGTCTTTTAGTTCTTTTCTCTTCCCAGTGAATACCCGAGGTACATGAAGAAGAGAAAGAAATGATGTCCCCCTTCCTTATTCTGTCCTTGTATCTCCAAGTCCTGGCAACCTTGGCAGAGTGCCGCCTATGGGTGCCAATGTGGCTTTCATCCATGTTTACAGGGGGCCTAGAGGGTGGGAATTATCCACACTCACCCATATACTGCCTTTCCCCCATGCTGTCGGCAACCTTTGAGTTTCCCATCCCTCGTTTATGCCATGGATAGCAGCATGACCTCTATTCATGAAAAGGAGGGCTATTTGGCAGGAATTAGTCATGCTCACCTGCACTGTGCCCTTGACTTCCATTGTTGCCTGTGTTTGTATCCATCAGATCTAGTTTTCTCTTTTAGGGCTTCAACCCGAAGCTTGGAATTGAGTTTGGGACAAAAAGGTGTCTCCAGAGGGTGTGTGGACTCATTAAGTTAGGGAGTTTCATGAATTGAAGTCCTGGCCTAGAGAGATGCCTTTCAAAAGGAGCAAACAAACAAACAAACAAACAAACAAAAAACTCTTGCATAGAAAAGCATTCTGTATTTGCAGGCCTATGTGAACTCCTGACATGGTGGAGAAAAGAAGAAAAAGTGTAAGTGCAGGGCAGAAAAGATGCCTGGGAAGAAAATGCTGAGGCTTTATGCAAATGTGTTCTCTGCTTCCTCTTTGCCTCTAAGAATAGATGGAAACCACATTGTCCTGAATTGCATATCTGATGGCTGAGCCAAATGCTCATTTCACCCACTAATATCTCTGTAGCTTGTGCCAATGCTTTTAACATTGTAAAAGAAGACATAGGTGCCATGACAACCCCAAAATAAAATAAGGAAAATGCCACAGAAAGACTGGATTGGAACAAAGCTGACATTCTCAACCACCGAGAGCAATGGTGGTGGGGAGAAGGGAAGTGTTAGGGTCCTCTCCAGGATCCTGTCCTCTGTAGCTGGGCCACTCATTCTTAATTGGCTCACCAGAGGTTCGGCTCTTCATGTGCCTTCAGAAATGTCTGAGGACAATAAGCCTTGAAAAAAAAGTGAAGAGTCTAGGTCTGCATTTGTTCCCCCTTCAGGTATCCTGGGTGAGCCCCCAAAATGATGTAGGATTTTTCTTTTCAGTCACTTTGTAAGCCAGAGACCCCTGGTGGTGATGCCCAACTCGAGCCATGCTCAGCCATGCTGGCATGCCCCAGCTCATCTGTGGTATTGCTTGTGCCCACATTCAGCGATTCCTGAGCTCTTATACCATGACCAAGAAGAATGAGAATATACTGGACATTGAAGCATGAGGAGAATAATTTTATTGAGTGATGGAACAGCTCTCAGTGCAGAGGGGATTTGGGGGGTGGTCTACCACCCCCACAGTTGGATGGTTCTCTCCTCTTATCAACTGAGTCTGGGGTCTTTATAGGAACAGGGTGGGGAGTGTGTGCTGATTGATTTGTGAGTATGCAAAAAAGGTTAAAGTGAAGGCACCACTCAAAGGTGGGCATGACAGTGTAGATAACCAATTACAAAAGGGTAGGCATATATGAAATAGGTGAATGGTGGGGATAAATCAGGGGACAGCACACTAACTGGGAAGACAAGTTCTCAATTTAGTCCAAGGATTAACATGCAGCTTGGGTTTCAGCCTTTGAACTCTTTTCAGCTTGGAGGTGGGGATTCACTGGGTACTCACCCTTATCTACCTAGGCATTTGGCTGCCTCCTGTTACCATTATTTATGATTGCTTTACTAGAAAAAGAAATGAAATACCTTAGAAGATTTTGGTAACTATTAAATTATGTAATTCAGCCAGGCGTGGTGGCTGACGCCTGTAATCCAAGAACTTTGGGAGGCCGAGGCAGGTGGATCACGAGGTCAGGAGTTCAAGACCAGCCTAGGCAAGATGCTGAAACCCTGTTTATACTTAGTATACAAAAATTAGCTGGGCATGGTGGCGGATGCCTGTAATCCCAGCTACTTTGGAGGCTGAGGCCGAGAATTGCTTGAACCTGGGAGGCAGAGGTGGCAGTGAGCCGATATTGCACCACTGCACTCCAGCCTGGATGACAGAGTGAGTCTCCGTCTCAAAAAAAAAAAAAAGTTAAATCATATAATTCATAATAATTATTAAATTACTAGCACATAAAAACCACTTACAAAAAATGTCCCTAAATAACTCTGATTCAATCACAGAACCTTTATTGAGCACCTACTTTGTTTGTGACTAGGGATATAAAAGTAAATGAGACACAAACACCTTGAAATACAATTGTTATATTAGTCGTAATGATCCAACCTTTCCTTCATTACATCAGGCATTTTTGCAGCTCTGTGCCTTTGTTTAAAAGGAACATTATTTTTCCTTTTTTCACTTTGTTAACATTTTACTAAACCCCAATTCTATAAGCGCAAGCCTACATATCATTTTTAGAATTGGAATACTCTGAACTCAACTCAACCATATTTTACTTATTTTTTATTCACAATATATAGCATGCCTTTTCTCATTCAGTAGATGACTGTTTAACAAATGAATGAATGAACAAATATTTAAGTCAATAAATGAAGGCAGTGTATTAACTCTTGCAGTTGTAATTCTAGTAGGCAACTGATACAACAGGCTCATATATATGTGCTGTAGTAGGACTTTAGAGAGCAAAAAGTTGCATTTCCCTAATGTACAGTCCCAAATAATGTTTGTTTCTGTTTGAAAACTTTCTTTATTCTCCAGAGCCTACCAAGTTAAGAATATTCTCCATGGATATTCATATTATTGCCCCACCTAACTTTTTCTAAACAATTGTACAACTCCCTTAAATTTATACTGTACTCTATTCATATGGTACTAAATAGCATTTCCCTCAATTTGAAACCAACCCAATATTCTCATAAACAGCTTTTTTTAGATAAATATAGAAATCGATTATTTTGGTCGAAAAGCTTGAAACATATTGGTTTTGTCTGAGTCCCTTCCTCAGGAAAGAATCCAAGTCCTCTCAAAAAGTATGAAAGAACTGAGACTCATCAGATTATTGCATCCAGACAATGAGAAACCAAGCCTCTCATTCATCATGATGACTTCTTTCCTTACCACCCCATTTCTGTTTTCCCATGCTAGTTACATTCCTTTCCTGCTATATAAACCCCTAATTTTAGTCAGTCAGGGAGATGGACTTGAAGCTGATTTTCCATATCTTAGGCTTCATTCAGCACCCAATTAAAGCCTTCTTCTTGGGGAATACTCCTTGTCTCAATCATTAGCTGTCTGTGTTGCAAGCAGCAGGATCTAGACCAAATAGCCTGTGTATCAGAAACAAATTCAGGTATTTACGTATTTCTGCCTCCAAGAATGTGTTCATGAAATAGAATTAAGAAGGTACATAGTGATGTTTTTTGGCAGTATTCATTTTCTCCACAGCCAAAATACACCCTAGAGAGGAACTTAGTCCTCAGACACAATGCTTTAGGGATTGAAAAGACAGAAAAAGTGATCTCAGAGGACTGGAAAAGAGACTGTATGTAACATATGGTGATGATCATTTATTCTTCTTTAATACATGGCAGATTATTTGGGAAGAGCATAGTCACATGACAATGCAAGTGAGGCTCATTCGGTGCTCCTCAATCTTTACCAAATGGGCTTTTGAGAATTTCTTTGTTGTTATTTTTACCAGCCAGCACTGAATGTAAGTGACATTAACAGTTATGAGACAATGGCAGAGCTGGAAGGACTATGAGAGTAAATCTCATCCAACATTCTCTTTCCAAATAGGTTATGACATGAATGGCTTTTATGTGGTACAGGCCTATAATTAAAACTTCATCATCAATATCACTATCATTGTTTTGTTCCTTTTAGCTGTTGATGTATTTCTTCCAAAAATGTCTTATACTGAAATAAATTTTGAAGAAGTTATGCCAAGAGCCTCAACCTCCCACTTCTCTTTAGATAGTTTGACTCTTGTAGTGATACCTAGAGCTTGAAGGATATCCAAATTTGATTGAAACATTCCAGTTTAGGCAATGCTATATTTCAACAGCACCAATCAAAGATATCCTGTGCAGTCTATTTTATTGTTTTACCAACAAACAAGTTTCTTAGCATTCAATTCTATTTATATAGAATTATAGAAAAAGTGATTTGCTACAATTTAGAATCCTCCTATCCAATGAAAATAGATATAAGGTATTTTCAAAAATAGTTGTATTAGTCAAATCAATGAAATTAGCACAGAATATGTTTACTTAGGAGATCATATCTCAAATCACAATATTAGCCTTAGAGGCTAAAATACCATGGGGAAAAGAAGTGTTTAGATGAGAACATGAGGATGAATGCTTCCAAAATGGGAGCAAAAATTTTATTGGTAGATTTTTATTGTGTTGGGGAGATGCTTAGAGCAGAGGCAATTGTGAAACACTTTGCACTGTGGACAGCTATGCACATTTCTCTATATGTGGAAGTGTTTATTCATTTTTCGAGTTCAGTTTTAAGTAGCAAATAGCCTACTGCAGTGATACAAACCATTGTCCTTAAGAGAAATGTCTGGTATAAGTAGTATGCTTACTGGTAATTTTTTTCTAATTTCCTGTTATAAAATAAGATGTAGTGCCTTATTCTTGAATACTATAAAGAAAATTTGAGGTCAGCAATTTTCAGATATTTTGATCTCAGGAAACTTTTACAAGTTTAAATATCATTGAGAGTCCCAGAAAGCTTTTGTTTAGACGAATTATATTTATCACTGATTAAAAAATAAATCTGAGAAAATTTTAAAACACAAGAATGCACAAGCACACACTGTAATGGGTATTAGGATAATAATGTCATCAATCTCCAGGTATTCGCTGGAAAACCAAATTGAGCAATCATAAGAGAATAAGAGGAAAACTGTCAAATCATGCATTAATATTATTATATAAATAGTTTTGAAATTCAACTTCCCTTGGTGAAGTCATGGGGGCTCCTGGGGAGTCCCTGGGCCAAACTTTAGAAATAATTTAGATGAGTATATTTTAAAATATATTGGAAATCCATTGAGAATTAGTATATTTTAAAAGTATATTAAAATTTATTCAGAATTGTGACATGTTTTGGCAGTGAAATTAAATGACAAGAAAATATGGAATGAAATGAATTATGAGGTACATTTGTATAAGTAAGGAAAGAAGTGGCCGGGCGTGGTTGCTCCTGCCTGTAATCCCAGCACTTGGGGAGGCCGAGGCGGGCAGATTGCCTGAGGTCAGGAGTTTGAGAGCAGTCTGGCCAACATGGTGAAACCCCATCTCTACTAAAAATACAAAAAAACTAGCTGGGCATGGTGGCATGCGCCTGTAATCCCAGCTACTCGGGAGGCTGAGGCAGGGGAATTGCTTGAACCAGGGAGGTGGAGGTTGCAGTGAGCCGAGATTATGACACTGCACTCCAGCCTGGGCTACAGAGTGAGACTCCGTCTCACAAAAAAAAAAAAAAAAAAAAAAAAAAAAAAGAAGTGATTGATTCTGTGGGCACAACCCAAGGATTGTGCGTCCACCCCAGTGGTGTCTTTTGGCCAAAAAAGGCTTATATTACTGTATTCCAGCTTTCACACAGAGAAAACATTTTCTTCACTAAGTAGAAATTTAATTATCTAAAATAAACTGTTAGAAACCTAAACTTTCCAGTAGTGTTTTAAACAATCTGGTTCAATGTATGTGCATATCATATCACATTGAGTGTCCATAACAAATTCCAACTTGATGCATTTCTCGAGTACCCTAATAAAACAATACCCAGAACTCCCTGCAATCTTAAATGTCTTTCTTTTAAGAAAGCAAAACAAAGGAGGAAAACAAGTGATATGATTTAGTTGTGTCCCCACCCAAATCTCATCTTGAATTGTAGCTCCCATAATTCCCATGTGTTGTGGGAGGGACCTGGCAGGAGATAATTGAATCATGGGGGCAGTTTCCCCCATACTGTTCTCGTGGTAGTGATTAAGGCTTATGAAATAAGGCTCATGGTTTTATAAGGGGAAACCCCTTTCACTTGGCTCTCTGATTCTCTCTTGCAGTGGCTGTGTAAGACGTGCCTTTTGCCTTCCACCATGATTGTGAGGCCTCCCCAACCACGTGGAACTGGAAGTCCATTAAACTTCTTTTACTTTATAAATTACCCAGTCTCAGATATGTCGTTCTCAGTAGCATAAAACTGGACTAATACAAGAAGTCAACAAAAAAACCTTATTCAAGTAATTTACAAAGGTTTGTGTGTTATTGTTAACCTATATTTTAGCAGGAATTAAGCTAATTTTCTCACTCCCTTATAGAAATAATATTATCAGCTTGTGATGAAAACAGAAACAATAGTTGCAAATCTTTCTCTTGGTAGAATGATTGGTATATTATGGAAAATCCAAACAAAAGTATTGTATTAAAGAAAGTATTTTGTGGCTAAATAATTTTATCATATTCAATTTTAGAGCTAACTTTTAGCTGTAGGTTACTAGATTGCCTTTGATGGTGCTGAAATAATACTGTAGATATGTGGGAAGTTCACTAAATTCACTAGCAAATGTAAGAAAACATTTATGTTTAATTAGAAGTGTTCATCGGTGCACAGTAGTCTGGTTAGAAAATGTGCTTTTTAACCGTTTTTCATATAAAATGTTGATACCAGTTTAGGCAATCAAGTACTTTAATAAGATACCTAAGCAACAGTTCAACATGTCAATATTTTGAGACTGTTATGATATTATCGCATATTTACTAATATTAGGGAGAAAAAAACTTTGTTTCCCCTGCTCTGTAAGGTTAAATTATTAACTATTAGATTAGATGAAATGCTAAATAAAAAATAACATCTCTTTCTCTCTCTTTTCCACTTCTCCCTCCTTTCCTCACTGCTTCTCTTTTCTTTTAAAAATAGTGAGCTCAGCAAATATAAGAATGAGGAAACACTATTAACCCTCAAAACTCTGCACATGTGTTAATAACATTACTTGTTTCTGGTACTTGTGGTTTTTTAATTGATGCATAATACACATGTATGTTTTGGGGGTACATGTGATAATTTAATACATTCATATAATTTGTAAAGATCAAGTCAATATATTTGGAATCTCCATCACCTTAAATATTTAGCTTTGCTTTATGCTATGAACATTCAAATTATTGTCTTCTAGCAACTTGAAAAGTACAATAGAATAATGTTAACTAGAGTCACTCTGCTAATCTGTCGAACAATAGGTCTTATCAATTTTATTACACCATATATTTGGTTCCATTAATCAACTACTATGCATCCATCACCCACACTTCTCAGGCTCTGGTAACCACCAGCTACTCAGTCTTCATGAGATACAATTTTTTTTAGCCCCACATGAATCAGGAAATGTGGTATTTGTCTTTCTGTGCTTGGCTTACTTCACTTAACATAATGACTTCCAGTTTCATCCTTGTTGCTACAAATGACAGGATTTCATTCTTACTTATGGCTGAATAATAGTCCATTTCTGTTTCATACCACATTTTCTTTATTCTTTAATCAATTGATGTGAACATACATTGATCTACTGTGAATAGCACTGCCATAAACTTTAGTACAGATATCTCTTCAAGACATTGACTTCCTTTCTTTTATATCCAGTATTGAAATTGCTAGATCATATCATAGCTCTATTTTTTTTTTTGAGGAACCGCCATACTTTTCTCCACAGTATCTGAACTAATTTACATTCCCACTGACAAACAGTATACCAGGGTTCCCCTTTCTCCACAACCTCATCAGCATTTGTTATTTATCAAATTTTGTAAAATATTTGATAAAAGCCATTTAAAATGGGGTGAGATAATATCTCACTATTGTTTAAATTCGCATTTCTCTCATGATTAGTGATATTAAGAATTTTTTTCATGTATGTGGTGGCCCTTTATATGTCTTCCTTAAAGAGGTATTTGTTCAAATCTCTTGCCCTTTTTTAAATTGGATATTTGTTTGTTTGTTCTTGCAATTTGTTCTTTGAGCTCCCTGTATAGTCTGTTTATAAATCTCTTGTCAAACAGATAGTTTGCAAGTATTTTATCCCAGTCTATGGATTCTCTCCTCACTTTGCTTATTGTTTTTGCTGCAGAAAATTTTTAGCTTGATGTAATCTCATTTGTCTATTTGATATGGTTTTTCTCTGTCCCCACCCAAATCTCATGTCCAACTGTAATTCACATTGTTGGAGGAGGGACCTGGTGGGAAGTGATTAAATCATGGAGGTGGACTTCCTCCTTGCTGTTCTCATAATAGAGTTCTCAGGAGATCTGGTTATTTGAAAGTGCATAGCACTTCCTCCTTCCCTTTTTTTCTCTCTCTCTCTCTCTCTCTCTCTCTTTCTCTCTTCCTCTTGCTCTCTCTCTCTTCTGTTGGCCATGTAAGAAGTGCTGGCTTCCCCTTCTTCCACCATGATTATTAGTACCCTGAGGTCCCTTGAGCCATGCCTCCTGTACAGGGTGCAGAACTGTGGGTCAATTAAACCTCTTTTTTAAAATAGATTACCCAGTCTCAGGTAATTCTTTATAGCAGTGTGAGAATGGACTAATACAGAAAATTGGTACCACAGAAGTGGGTGATTTCTATAAAGATACCTGAAAATGTGGAGGCAGCTTTGAAACTGAGTAATGGGTAGAGGTTGGAACAGTTTGGAGGGATCAGAAGAAGACAGGAAGTTGAGGGAAAGTTTGGAACTTCCTAGAGACTTATTGAATGGTTTCGACCAAAATGCTGATAGTATTATGGACAATGAAGTCCAGGCTCAGGATGTCTCAGATGAAGATGAGGAACTTATTGGGAACTGGAATGAAGGTCACTCCTGCTATTCTTTAGTAAAGAGACTGGCAGCATTGTGCTCATGCTCTTGGCACCTATGGAACTTTGAACTTGAGAGAGATGATATAAGGAAGGGGTGTCTAATCTTTTGGCTTCCCTGGGCCACATTAATAGAAGAAGAATTGGTTTCACACACATAAAGTACACTAACACCAATGAGAGTTGATGAGCTTAAAAGGGGGAGAGAGAGAGAGACGAAATCTCAAAAAAAAAAAAGTTTTTTTTTTGAGATGGAGTCTCACTATGTTGCCAGGCTGGAGTGCAGTGGCATGATCTCGGCTCACTGAAACCTCTGCCTCCTGGATTCAAGGGATTCTCCTGCTTCAGACTCCGTAGTAGCTGGGATTACAGGTGCATGTCACCACACCCAGTTAATTTTTGTATTTTTAGTAGAGATGGTGTTTCACCAGGTTGGCCAGAATGGTCTCAGTCTCTTGACCTCATAATCAGCCCGACTCGGCCTCCCAAAGTGCTGGGATTACAGATGTGAGCCACCGTGCCTGACTTATTTTAAAGAAAGTTTATGGATTTGTGTTGAGCCACATTCAAAGCCACCCTGGGCCACATGTGGTCTGCGGGCCATGGGTTGGACAAGCTTGATTTAGTGTATTTCTTGGAAGCAATTTCTAAGCAGCAAAGTGTTCAAGATGTGGTCTGGCTGCTTCTAAAAGCCTAGCACATTTGCATAAACAAATAAGTGACCTGAAACAAACTTACATTTAAAAGGGAAGCTGTATTAGTCTGTACTCATGCTGCTAATAAATACATACCCGAAACTGGGTAATTGATAAAGGAAAAGAGGTTTAATGCACTCACAGTTCCACGTGGCTGGGGAGGCCTCACAATCATGGCAGAAGGCAAATGAGCAAAGTCACATCTTACATGGCAGCAGACAAGAGAGCTTGTGCAGGGGAACTCCCATTAATAAAACCATCAGATCTCATGAGACTTATTTGTTACCATGAAAACAGTACAGGAGAAATGGCCTCTATGATTCCTTTATCCCCCCCTGGCCTCACCCTTAACACGTAGGGATTGTTACAATTCCAGTTGAGATTTGTGTGGGGACACAGCCAAACCATATCAGAAGCAGTGCATAAAAGTTTGGAACATTTTCAGGCTGGCCATGTGGTAGAAAAAACAAAAAAATCTAGGAGGGAATTCAAGCCGGCAGAAATTTCCATAAATAAAGAAGACCTGAATGTTAATAGCCAAGACAATGTGGACTATGCCTCCAAGGTATTTCAGAGACCTTTGCAGCAGCCCCTGCCATCACAGGCTAAGAGGCCTAGGCCCAGGGCCTCACTGCTTTGTGAAGCCTCAGGACATGGTGCCTTGTGTCCAAGCCACTCCAGCTCCAGCCATGGCTAAAAAGGCCAAGGTACAGCTCAGGCTATTGCTTCAGAGGGTGCAAGCCCCAAGTTTTGGCAGCCTCCATGTGGTGTTAAGCATGTGGGTATGCACAGGGCAAGAGTTAAGGCTTGGGAGTCTCCACCTAGATTTCAGAGGATGTATGGAAACACCTGGATGTCCAGATAGAAGTCTGCTGCAGGGGCAAAGGCCTCATGGAGAACCTCTATTAAGGCAGTGCAGAAAGGAAATGTGGGGTTGGATCCCTCATGGAGAGCCCCCAATGGGGCAATGGCTAATGGAGCTGTGAGAAGAGAGCCACTGTCCTCCAGACCCAGAATGGTAGATCCGTCAATATCTTGTACCATGCACCTGCAAAAGCTGCAGGCACTCAGAAACAGCCTGTAAAAGCAGTTGCAGGGGCTGTAGCTGTACTCTGCAGAGCCACAGGGGCAGAACTGCTTAATGCCTTTGGAGCTCACCGCTTGCATCAGTGTGGCCTGGATGTGAGACATGGAGTCAAAGGAGATTATTTTGGAGCTTTAAATTTTAATGACTTCTGTTTTAGTCCATTTTCACACTGCTGATAAAGACATACCCAAGACTGGGAAGAAAAAGAGGCTTAATTAAACATACAGTTCAACATGGCAGGGGAGGCCTTAGAATCATGGCAGAAGGTGAATGGCTCTTCTTACATGGTGGCAGCAAGAGAAAATAAGGAACATGCAAAAGTAGAAACCCCTGATAAAACCATTAGATCTTGTGAGACTTGTCTACTACCTCAAAAACAGTATGGGAGAAACTTCCCCCATGAATCAAATTATCTCCCACCATATTCCTCCCATAAGACATAGGAATTATGAGAGTACAATTCAAGATGAGATTTGGGTGGGGACACAGAGCCAAACCATATCATTCCACTAATTCCTCCAAATCTCACGTCCTCACGTTTCAAAATCAATCATGCCTTCCCAACAGTCCCCCAAAGTCTTAACTCATTTCAGCATTAATCCAAAAGTCCACAGTCCAAAGTCTCATCTGAGACAAGGCAAGATCCTTCCACCTACAAGCCTGTAAAATCAAAAGCAAGCTAGTTACTTCCTAGATACAATGGGGGTACAGGTATTGGGCAAATACAGCCATTCCAAATGGGAGAAATCAGCCAAGATAAAGGAGTTACAGGGCCCATGCAAGCCTGAAATCCAGGAGGGCAGTCAAATCTTAAAGCTCCAAAAAGATCTCCTTTGACTCCATATCTTGCATTCAGGTCACTCTGATGAAATTGTTGAGTTCCCATGGTCTTGGGCAGCTCTGGCCCTGTGGCTCTGCAGGGTGCAGCCTTCCTTTCAACTGTTTCACAGGCTGGTGTTGAGTGTCTGTGACTTTTCCAGGCACATGGTGAAAGTTGTCAGTGAATCTACCATTCTGGGGTCTGGAGGACAGCGGCCCTCTTCTCACAGCTCCACTAGGTGATGCCGCAGTAGGGACTCTGTGTGGGGGCTCCAACCCCATATTTCACTTCTGCACTGTCATAGCAGAGGTTTTTCATGAGAGTCCTGCCCCTACAGCAAACTTATGCCTGGGCACCCAGGCATTTTCATACATCTTCTGAAATCTCGGCAGAGGTTCCCAAACCCCAGTTCTTGAATTCTGTGCACTCACAGGCTCACACCATGTGGAAGCTGCCAAGGCTTGGGGCTTGCAGCCTCTGAAGCCACAGCCTGAGCTCTACATTGGCCCCTTTCAGCCATGGCTGGAGCTTCTGGGATGCAGGGCACCAAAGTTTTAGGCTGCATGTAGCACAGGGACCCTGGGCCCAGCCCACAAAACCATTTTTTCCTGCTAGGCCTCTGGGCCTGTGATGCGAGGAGTTGCTGTGAAGACCTCTGACATGCCCTGGAGACATTTTACCCATTGTCTCGAGGATTAACATTCGGCTCCTTGTTACTTTTGCAAATTTCAGCAGCAGGCTTGAATTTCACCTCAGAAAATGGGATTTCCTTTTCTATTGCATTGTCAGGCTCCAAATTTTCCAAACTTTTAGGCTCTGTTTCCCTTATAAAACTGAATGCCTTTAACAGCACCTGAGTCACCTCTTGAATGCTCTGCTGCTGAGAAATGTCTTCCACCAGATACCCTAAGTCATCTCTCTCAAGTTCAAATTCCACAAATCTCTAGGGCAGGGGCAAAATGCCACCAGTCTTTGCTATAAACATAACAAGAGTCACCTTTGCCCCATTTCTCAACAAGTTCCTCATCTCCATCTGAGACCACCCGAGCTTAGACCTCATAGTTCATATCACTATCAGCATTTTTCTGATTCAAAAGCTATTAAACAAGTCTCTAGGAAGTTCCAAACTTTCCCACATTTTCCTATCTTCTTCCAAGCCCTCCAAACTGTTCCAACCTGTTTACCCAGTTCCAGTCACTTCCACATTTTCAGGTATCTTTTCAGCAGGATGCTAGTCTACTGGTACCAATTTAATGTAGTAGTTCATTTTCACTCTGTTGATAAAGACATACCTGAGACTGGAAAGAAAAAGAGGTTTAATTGGACTTACAGTTCCACATGGCTGGGGAGGCCATGTGGAGAATCATGGCAGATGGCAAAAGACACTTCTTACATGGTGGCAGCAAGAGAAAATGAGGAAGATGCAAAAGCAGAAATCCCTGATAAAACCATCAGATCTCATGAGACTTGCCCACTACCACAAGAATAGTATGGGGGAAACCACCCTTATGATTCAACTTGTCTTCCACCCTGTCTCTCCAACAGCATATAGGAATTATGGGAGTACAAATCAAAGATTCAACTTATCTTCCACCCTGTCTCTCCAACAGCTTATAGGAATTATGGGAGTACAAATCAGAATGAGATTTGGGTGGGGACACAGAACCAAACCATATCAACCGCCTGCTAGTTTTCAGACTTGCATGGGTCATGTAGCCCCTTTGTTTTGGCCAATTTCTCCCATTTGGAATGGAAACATTTACTCAATATCTGTACCCCAACTGTATCTTGGAAGTAACTAAATTGTTTTTGATTTTACACACTTACAGGCAGAAGGGACTCACTTTGTCTCAGATGAGCCTTTGGACATGGACTTTTGAGTTAATGCTAGAATGAGTTAAGACTTTAGGGGACTGTTGGAAAGGTGAGATTACATTTTGAAATGTATGAATGTAAGTTTGAACTGTAATTCAACATGAGAATTCGTTGGAGTGTTAGAGGAGGTGCCTGGTGGGAGGAGACTGAACCATGGGGGAAGACTTCTGCTTTGCTCTTTTCATAATAGAGTTCTCACAAGATGTGTTTGTTTGAAATTGTGTAGCACTTCCCCCTTCACTCTCTTGCTCTCTCTCTCCTGCCTGGCATGTAAGATGTACTGACTTCCCCTTCATCTTCCACCATGATTGTAAGTTCCCTGAGGCCTCCCCAGCCATGTGTCCTGTACAGCCTGCAGAACTGTGAATCAATTAAACCTCTTTTTTTTTTAAATGAATTACCCAGTCTCAGGTAGTTCTTTATAGCAGTGTGAGGACAGACTAATACACTATTTTTGCTTTAATTGCCTGTTCTTCTGAAGTCTTACACACAAAAATTTGCCCAGACTAATGTTGTGGAGTATTTCTCCAATATCTTCTTCTATTAGTTTTATAGTTTTAAATCTTAAATTTAAATCTTTGATATTTTTTATTGGATTTATATGGATTTGAGAGACGGGTCTAGTTTCATTTCTCTGCATATAGTTATCTAGTTTTCCCAGCACCATTTATTGAAGATACTGTCCTGTCCCCATTGTATGTTATTGGTATCTTTGTCAAAGGTAAGTGGCTCTAAATACATGGGTTTATTTCTGGGTTCTCTATTCTGTTCCACTGGACTTTGTGTCTATTTTCATACCAGTGACATGCTGATTTGGATACTGTAGTTCTGTAGTAAATTTTGAAGTCAGGTAGTGTGATCCTTCTAGCATTGTTCTGTTCTTTTTGCTCAGGATTGCTTTTGCTATTCAGGACATTTTGTGAATCCTTTTAATTTTTACAATTATTTTTATATTTTTGTGAAGAATGTCATTGGTATTTTGATAATAATTGCATTTCATCTGTAAATTGCTTTGGGTAGTACTGCCATTTTAACAATATTAATTCTTCCAATTCATGAGCGTGGAATATTTTCCATTTTTTGTGTCATCCTCATCCTCAATTATTTTCATCAATGTTTTATAGTTTTCCTTGTATAGATCTTTTACTTGTTTGGCTAAACTGATTCCTAGGTATTTTATATTTTTTGTAACTATTGTAAATGGGATTGCTTTCTTGATTCCTTTTTCAGATTGTTTGCTCTGGGTGTATATAAATGTTGTTGATTTTTGTATGTTGGTTTTGTGTTCTGCAAATTTAGTAAATTCATTTATTAGTTTTAAGAGTATTATTTGTGGAGTTTGTAGGTGTTTCTATGTTTATAACCACGTCAGCTGTGAACAAAGCTAATTTGACTTCTTCCTTTCCAATGCTCTTTCTTTCTTTCCTTTTTTTTTTTTTTTTTTTTTTTTGACAGAGTTTGTTGTTGTTGCCCAGGCTGGAGTGCAATGGCACCATCTCGGCTCACCACAACCTCCACCTCCGGGGTTCAAGTGATTCTCCTGCCTGAGCCTCCAGAATAGCTGGGATTACAGGCATGTACCAACTTGCCTGTCTAATTTTGTATTTTTAGTAGGGATGGGATTTCACCACTTTGGCCAGGCTGGTCTCAAACTCCTGACTTCAAGTGATCCACCTGCCTTCGCTTCCCAAAGTGCTGAGATTACAAGCATGAGCCACTGCGCCCAGCCCCCCAGTGCTCTTTATTTCTTTTCCTTGCCTAATTGATCTGTCCAGGACTTCCAGTATAATATTGAATAAAAGTGGTGAAAGTTCGCATTTTGTCTTGTTCTACATTTTAAAGGAAAGGCTTTCAGTTTTTCTCTATTCAGTCTTATCTTAGCTATGGGTTTGTCGTATATGGTATTTATTATTCTGAGATATATTTCTTCTATATTCAGTTTGATGAGGCTTTTTATTTAAAGAGATGTTGAATTTTATTACATGCTTTTTCAGCACCTATTAAAATAATCATACTGTTTTGTTCTTGGTTCTGATAATATGATATATCACATTTATTAATTCGTATATGTTAAACCCTCCTTGCATTCCTAAGATGAATCCCACTTGATTACGGTGAATAATTGTTTCAACGTGTTGTTGAGTTAAGCTTGTTAGTATTTTGCTGAGAATTTCTGCATCTGTGTTTATGAGTGATATTGGTCTATAATTTTCTTTTCTAGTTGTGTTCTTGTCTGGTTTTGTTATCAGAGAAATACTGGCCTCATAGAACTATTTTCAAAGTATTCCCCTCTCTTCAATACTTTTAAAGAGTTGGAGTAGAATTGGTGTTAATTCTTTAAATGTTTGTTAGAATTCAGCAGTGAAGTCATCAGGTCCTGGGCCTTTCTTTGATGGGAGCCATTTTATCATGGCTTCTGTCTTGTTACTTGTTATTGGTTTGTTGAGGTTTTCTGTTTCTTCATAGTTCAATTTTGGTGGGCTATATATGTCCAGGAATTTATCCATTTTTTCTAGGTTTTCCAGTTTCCTGATGTGCAGCTGGTCCTAATGGTCTCTAATGATTTTTTTTTTTTTAATTTCTGTGGTCTCAGTTGTTATGTCTCCTCTTTCATTTCTGATTTTATTTATTTGGGTCATCTCTCTTTTTTCTTAGTTTAGCTACTGTTTGTTGATTCTGTCTTGTTGATCTTAGGTATTATTTTCTTAGTATCAATTTTATTTATTTATTTTAAAAATTATTTATTTTTTATATTTAGTGGGTTCAAGTGCAGGTTTCTTACATGCATACATAGTGTAATGGTAGGGTTTGGGTTTTTAGGTGTTCCCATCACCTGAATAGTGAACATTGTACCCAATAGTAGTTTCTTAACTCTCATGCTCTTCCCACCTTTTATAGTTTCTAGTGTATAGTATATATTGATCTGTTATTCCACTATTATTCTACTATTCCATGTGTACCCATTGTTTAGCTCCCACTTATAAGTGAATACATGCAGTATTTGACTTTCAGTTTCTGAGTTAGTTCACTTAGGATAATGGCCTTAAACTCTATCCATCTTGCTGCAAAACACACGATTTCATTCTTTTTCAAAGACTGTGTAGTATGTAGTATTCTATAACATATATATACATATATATATACACACATATATATACATATATATACACATATATACATATATACACACACATATATATATATGTGTGTGTATATATACATATAATGTTTTCTTTATCCAGGCCTCTGTCAGTGAACACTTATATTGATTCCATATCTTTGCTATTGCAAATAGTGCTGCGATAAACATACAAGTGCAGGCATCTTTTTAAATATGATTTCTTTCCCTTTGGGTATATATCCAGTAATTGGTTTACTTAATCAAATGGTAGTTCTATTTTTAGTCATTTGAGAAACCTCTATACTGTTTTCCATAAAGGTTGTACTAATTTATATTCCCACCAACAGTGTATAAGCATTCCCTTTTCATTGCATCCTCATAATTTTCATTTCTTTCTGCTTTGATTTTTATTCTTTCCTTCTACTAATTTGGGGTTTGGTTTGTTCTTGGTTTTATAGTTCCTTGAGGTGCTCTTTTAGGTTGTTTATTTGAAGTCTTTCTACTTTCTTGAGATAGATGTTTATTTCTATAAACTTCCCTGTTACTACTGTTTTGCTGTATCCATAAATTTTGGTATGTAATATTATGTAATATTTCCATTTTAATTTGTTTCAAGAAGTTTTAAAATGTCCTTCTTAATTTCTTTATTGACCCATTGGTCATTCATAGGCATGTTGTTTAATTTCCATGTGTTATGTTGTGTAGTTTCTGAAGTTGCTCTTGTTACAGATTTCTACTTTTAATCTATTGTTGTTATAAGGGATATTTGATATGATTTCTACTTTTTTGAATTTGTTGAGACTTGTTTTATGGCCTAAGATATGCTTTCTTCTGGAGAATATTCCATATTCTAATGAAAAGAATGTGCATTCTATGGCAGTTGGGTGAAATGTTCCGTAAATTTCAGTTAGCGCTGTCTGGTTTAGTGTGTAGTTTTACTCCAGCATTTCTTTGTTGATTTTCTTCTGTAAGGTCTGTCCATTACTGAGAGTAGGGTGTTAAAGTCCCCTACTATTATTCTATTGTAGTCTGTCTCTCCCTTTAGATCTTATAATATTTGCTTTATATATCTTGGTGATCTGATGTTACATGCATGTATATTTAGAATTACTATATCTGATTGCTCAGTTTATTCCTTTGTCATTATATAGTGCCCTTCTTTGTGTCTTTTTACAGTCTTTGATTTGTATTCTATTTTTATCCAATATAGGTGTAGAAATCCCTGCTCTTTTTTGGTTTCCAGTTGTGTGGAATATCTTTCCACCTCTTCACTCTCAGTCTATGTGTGTTCTTATAAGAGAACTGAATTCTGTGTAGTCAGCATCTACTTGGCTATTATCTCTTTACTCATGCAGGCACTCTGCGCCTTTTAATTAGATAATCAAATTCACTTATGTTAAGTGTTTTTTATTGATAAGTAAGGACTTACTACTACTGCCACTTTGTTGTTTGTTTTGTAAATCTTCTCTATTTTTTTCTCCCCTACTTATTGTTTTCCTTTGTGGTTATGTGATTTCTTTGGTAGTATGTTTAAATTTATTGCTTTATATTTTTATGAATAGGTTGTAGGTTTTTACACTGTGGTTACTATGAAGTTTATGAATATTATATTATAACAAGTTATTTTAGAGAGTTGACAACTCAGATCACAACAAAAAGGACAAAAACAAAGAAAAAAATAAAACATTCTACAACTCAAGTCCATCTCCCCCACATTTTCATTTTTACCTATCTCAATTTACATATTTTGTCATTTCCTGTCTCTTGCCAGGTTACTATAGTTATTATTTTTGATAAATTTGTCTCTTGGATTTCATACTAGAGTTATGAGTAAATCGTACTCCACAGTTACAGTATTAGAGTATTCTGGGTTTTTCTGTGTTCACCTCGATCTCACTTTTTCCAGTGTAGAATCTATGAGTTGACTGGAGATTTTCCGCACATTTAGTGCTGGGAAGAATGGGGTCAGGGGTGTCACAAATGAGGAAGTCCTATTCTCTTATGCTCTGCTTGAATTTTTTTTTTATTTCTGTGTGACCCCAGGAACAGTCTCATCCTCATATTTGAGTGCCACGTTATTGTTGATGATAATCTTGGCTCTGTGTATTTGTTTTTGGATTTCTGTGAAAAGAAGTGAAACCAACCTTCTACATCACCGTTTCTACTCTTGTGTTAATCTCTCCTTTTATGTCCTCATTTCTATCAATTTTACTTTGCAGTTTATTAACTTCATAGTTTCTGCTGTCACTTTCTTGTAGTCTGCATTCTTCTCTCCATTTAAACTATTCAATGTAGTACTTAAAGATAGACATGACTTTCAGACAGGCTAATATTTGCTTATGAGTGTCAAAGTTCTTAAAACTGCATACTGCATCAAGAAGTGAAGCAATGTATCTTTCTGGACATTTCTATTTAAAAAAAATCAGTGGGCCAGGTGCAGTGGCTCATGCCTGTAGTCCCAGCACTTTGGGAGGCCAAGGTGGTGGATCACCTGAGGTCAGGAGTTTGAGACCAGCCTGGCCAACATGGTGAAACCCTGTCTCTACTAAACACAGAAAAATCAGCCGGGTGTGATGGTGCGCACCTGTAGTCCCAGCTACTCGGGAGGCTGAGGCAGGAGAATCACTTGAACCTAGTAGGCGGAGGTTGCAGCAAGCCAAGATCTTGCTACTGCACTCCAGCCTGAGCGACAGAGCAAGACTCTGTATCAGAAAAAAAAAATCAGCTTTTGACCAAGCAATATAACTTCTTAGTATCTGTCCTGAATGTACACTTCTAAAAATATAAAAATACATATTCAGCCTGCAATGTCAGCACTTTGTGAGGCTAAGGCTAGTGGATCACCTGAGGTCAGGAGTTCAAGACCAGTCTGGTCAACATGGTGAAACCATGTCTCTACTAAAAATACAAAAGTTAGCTGAGCATGATGGCAGGTACCTGCAATCCCAGCTCCTTGGGAGGCTGAGGCAGGAGAATTGCTTGAACCTGGAGGTGAAGGTTGCAGTGAGCTGAGGTTGCATACTCTAGTCTGGGCAACAGAGCAAGACTCTGTCTCAGAAAAAAATAAATAAAACAAAAAAACCCCAAGACTATTCATTTTAACGTTGTACATCATTGCAAAGTATTGAAAAAGCTTAATGTCCATACATGGGGAGTGGGCCTCTCACCTACGATATATCCACCATGGAGTACTATAAAGCTATAACAAAGAATAATGAAACAGTCTATTACTTGATATGAAGTGAACTCCAAGATATATTAGGAAAAGAACGCCAAGCAATATCACTTCTATGCTATCCCATTATATAAGAAAGAAGAGGATAAAAGGAAATAGATATGTGCACATTTGCAGAAAACACATGCAGAAAATATAAACCAGACACTAACAGATTAGTTACAGGAGTGCAAAAGAATAAAGTGGAGCAAATTGAGAAATAAGAATGGATTTATGGGGATGACCATTAACCACATTTCTCTGAATATACATTTTTGTATAGTTCTTTCACTTAGAACCAAGGTAATGTTTTACATATCAAGAACCAAAGAAATAACAGAAATTGACAGAATATGAGGAGAATTTTGAAAAAGAACATAAACAGTAACAAATGAACTGAGTTATGAATAAGTAATATAAACACAATGTGTTGATGAAAAAAGTACTAACCTTAGCAATTTTGGAAAATAATATTTGAATGTGAATTTGGAAAATAATATTTGGGGTAGAATGCTAAGGATAAGAAGAATTGCACTTTGATACTGTATTTTTATTAATAAATGTGTTTCAAACAGGGGCTTAGCTAGCAATTCTGAAACTATTTTATGTGTTTACCAAAACTGAACAAACAAGTATATATTTATTGTGGATGTTGAGTGCCAGATTTATCACAGTGAGAGAAAGAATTTGTAAATAAGGAAAGAAAGAAGACTAGAATGGACCTTGTGGTGTTGAATTAGAATTTGAAATGCCAGAATGAATTCATGGTTTTAATTATGTATACAGATAACGGATAGACTGATATGATAATACATATAGATTTATGGATAGGTTTCTGTAAATATCCATAGCTTTGTTTCCTAGCTTAGTTTGCTGACAGGGCTTAGAAGCAACGACAGAATAACAGCAATGAGCATGTTTAGCCTCCCATCTTGGTTTGGAGAAATTGTTGATTCAAGGACTGGGACAGTGAACATACACAACAGGACCAGAATGTTTTGATATCAGAGTAAGGAAATGTTCAAAACATGATAAAGAATTATTGAAAAGGCACAGAAGTCACTTGAAGTAACTCCCAATGGGATAAAGCTGGGATAATTTTGTCAACAAAATCGATATGTTAGTATTGGATTATAACCAATAAAATAATATCCATGAATCTGTACTCATGGATATTTATGAGCCCATAAGTAAATAATTGAATGCATCAGTAAGGGAGAAGGAAAACTTCTTACAGAAGAATTTCAGTAAGTAAATGAAAAGGAATGATGGAAATAGAAAATCACCATTAGACAAATACCTCAATAATATTTTTGCAGGCAAGAAGAATCAGTGGATGCTAAAATTATTAGATTAAAGTATGATGAGAAATAGCATACATGCAGTGTCAAAAATCTCTATAAAAGATACTCATTTGTGACAAAGAGAACATAGTGTTTTTACAATGCAGAAATCTGGCAGAAATCACTACTGTGGTATTCTTCCCCCATATGCACAAACTCAATGTAATAATAAGAAAACATAAAAACAATTGAAATTAAGTTGAAGTCTACCAAATAACTTACTAGTACTTTTTAAAGTGTCAGTGTCACAAAAAACTGAAGAATATTAAGGAACTGTCATAAATCGGAGGAGAGTAAAAAGCCATGGCCACAAATGCAGTGTGGAATTCTCTATTGGTTCTGCACCGTAAGAAGGCCATCAGTGGGACAAATGTTGAAATTGGAATCAGAATTGAAGATTAATGTTATATCAATGTCAGTTTTTGGGTTTGGATATTGTTGTATTATTAAGATTTAAAATTAGGGTAATTTGGGTGAAAGATTTATGGAAAAACTGAAATACATTTTATTTCGGGGGAAGTCTAAAATTCTTTCAAAATAAAAAGTTAAAAAAATTAATTCCTCAGTTTAGTGACAGTTGGCAAAGAAGTGTGTATACTAAAGTTTATTTTAATATTTAAAATAATAAAATATCATAAATATCATTTCTGTCAAAAATAGGAATTTGATATTGCCACATAATGGTATATTTTGCAGCAATTAAATATATTTTAACACGAATAATTTTTGGCAAATAAAAATGCACATGATTTGTCAAGTAAAAAATACCACCAAAGAGTTGCATATGATCATTTTAATATAAAAATATGCACATTGATACATATAAAAACCAAATAAGATTTTTCAGTAAAATGTTTATTTGGCTATATCTTTCTGTTTTACTTGGTGTTAATGATATTTCTCCTTCTTCTTTTCTTCTTATTTTTCTTTCTTCTTTTTTTTCTTGGTTTGTGTGGTTTCTTGGTTTCTTGGATTTGTTTTGTTTTGTTTTGTTTCTTGTAATAAGCAGAGGCCTATAAAACTTAAACATAATGCCATAAACTTTGCTGAAGAAGAAAGAAACTCTAACAAAGATAAGTTAATATAGGTGAAAATTCACTCTAGTCATATTTATACTAAGACAGATTAAATATTATAGCCTGTAACAGGAAGAACACATAGTTCTATCTTTAAAAGAACATTCTTTAACACAAAAGTTTATACCTGACTCTAAATGTTTCTGGGAACATCACACACCGGGGCCTGTTGTGGGGTGGGGGGACGGGGGAGGGATAGCATTAGGAGATACGCCTAATGTTAAATGACGAGTTGACGGGTGCAGCACACCAACATGGCACATGTATTCATATGTAACTAACTTGCACATTGTGCACATGTACCCTAAAATGTAAAGTATAAAATAAATAAATAAATAAATGTTCCTGGGGAACACCTGAAGCCCATCCCCAACGATAAAAAGATGGTTATTTTTGACTGATAAAATTTGCTGTGTATTTAAAAGCTTACTTGTAATACTGACTTCTTTTCCTACTAAGTCCCTTAAAGAGATATTTGCACTTTGTATAGATTCTCTGCTATCTGTGATGGAATCCCATAAATTGTGTGCTTCCTAATAATGTTTTAGCAGAGTTCAATTTTTTATAGCATTATTTAACGTGGCAGTTGGTTCCTTACATGGTTTGGCTGTGTCCCCGCCAAAATCTCATCTTGAATTGTAGTTCCCGTAATCCTTATGTGTGGTAGGAGGGACCTGGTGGGAGGTAATTGAATCCTGGGGGCACTTTCCCCCTCGCTATTCTTGTGATAGTAAATTCTCATGAGCTCTGACAGTTTTATAAGCAACTTCCCCATTTGCTCAGTTCTCATTCTTCTCTCTCCTGCTGCCATGTGAAAAAGGACATAGTTGCTTCCCCTTCTACCACGATTGTAAGTTTCCTGAGGCTTCCCAAGCCCTGTGGAACTGTCAGTCTATGAAACCTTTTTCCTTTATACATTACCCAGTCTCTGGTATGTCTTTATTAACAGTGTGAGAATGGACTAATACAGTAAATTGGTACCACAGAGAGTGGGGTGCTGCTACAAGGATACCCAAAAATGTGGAAGCAACTTTGGAACTGGATAGCAGGAATAGATTGGAACAGTTTGGAGGGCTCAGAAGAAGACAGGAAAATGTGGGAAAGTTTGGAACTTCCTAGAGACTTGTTGAATGGCTTTGACACAAATGCTGATAGTGGTATGAACAATAAATTCCAGGTTGAGGTAGTGTCAGACGAAGATGAGGAACTTTTTGGGAAATGGAATAAAGATGATTCTTGCTATGCTTTAGCAATAAGACTGGGGGCATTTTGCCCCTGCCCTAGAGATCTGTGGAACTTTGAACTTGAGAGAGATAATTCAGGGTATCTGACAGAAGAAATTTCTAAGCAGCAAAGAGTTCAAGAGGAAGCAGAGCATAAACATTTGGAAAATTCACAGCCTGACAATGTAGTAGAAAAGAAAAATCCTTTTTCTGGGGAGAAATTCAAGTCTGCTGCAGAAATTTGCGTAAGTAACAAGGAGCTGAATGTTAATCACCAAGACAATGGGGAAAATTTCCCCAGGTCAGGCCAGAGACCTTCATGGCAGCCCCTCCCATCACAGACCCTGAGGCCTATGAGGGAAAAATTGTTTCATGGGCCAGGCCCAGAACCCCAATGCTCTGTGCAGCCTAAGGACATGGTTCTCTGAGTCCCAGATGCCTCAGTTCCAGCTATGGCTAAAAGAGGTCAACATATAGTTCAGGCAGTTGCTTCAGAGGGTGTAAGCCCCAAACCTTGGTGGCTTTCACATAGTATTGGGCCTGTTGTTAACACATCTTGAGGTTTGATTTCAGAGGATGTATGGAGATGCCTGGATGTCCAGGCAGAGGTGTGCTCTTGGGGCAGGGCCCTCATAGAGAACCTCTGCTAGGGCAGTATGGAAGAGAAATGTGAAGCTGGAGCCCCCACACAGAGTCCCCACTGGGCACTGCCTAGTGGAGCTGTGAGAAGACGGCCACCATCCTCCAGACCCGAGAATGGTAGATCCACTGACAACTTGCACCATGTGCCTGGAAAAGCTACAGACACTCAACACCAGCCTGTGAAAGCAACTAAGACGGGGACTGTACTCTGCAAAACCATAGGGGTGGAGCTGCAGAAGGCTGTGGAAGCCTACCTCTTGCATCAGCGTGACCTGGATGTGAGACATGGAGTCAAAGAAGATCATATTGGAATTTTAAGGTTTGACTGCCCTGTTGGATTTCAGACTTGCATGGAGCCTGTAGCCCCTTTCTTTTGGCCAATTTCTCCCATTTCGAACAGGTGTAATTACCGAATGCCTGTACCCTCATTGTATCTAGGAAGTAACTAACTTTCTTTTTATTTTACTGGCTCATAGGCAGAAAGGACATGCCTTGTCTCAGATGAGACTTTGAACTTGGACTTTTGGGTTAATGCTAGAATGAGTTAAGACTTTGGGGGACTGTTGGAAGGGCATGATTGTGTTTTGAAATGTGAGGACATGAGATTCGGGAGGGGTCGGGGTGGAATGATATGGTCTGGTTGTGTTCCTAGCCAAGTATAATCCCCACATGTGATGGTAGGGACCTGGTGGAAGGTAATTGAATCATGGGCCAGTGGGGGGGTGGGGGTTTCCCCCATGCTATTCCTGAGTGAGTTCTCAGGAGATCTGGTGATTTATAAGATGCTTCCCCTTTGGCTTGGCTCTCATTCTTCTCTCTCTTGCCACCAGGTGAAGAAGGACGTGTTAGCTTCCCCTTCAGCCATGACTGTAAGTTTCCTGAGGCCCACCCAGCCCTGCAGAACTGTGAGTCAATTAAACCTCTTTCCTTTATAAATTACCCAGTGTTGGGTATGTCTTTATTAGCAGTGTGAGAACAGACTAATAGAGTTCCTCATTTTTTTTTTCTTGGAACCTCCATAGAAAAACTCTACACACTTTATTTAAAAAAAAATAAAACAAAACAGTGTTTACAGATCGAAAACCTAGACTTCAATCTAGAAATTGCCTTCACCCAAATTATTATGCTACTGTAAACACTTGGTTGCAAAATCTTTCCAACAACATAATTTTAGGTGTTTCAAAATGCGATTTTATATTTATTTATATTTATATGTGTCTTTTGCAATTCAAATATTAATATATGAATTTCCTTTTATCCACATGTTAAAGAAAGGTTAAAGATCTCGGCTCACTGCAAGCTCCGCCTCCTGGGTTCACGCCATTCTCCTGCCTCAGCCTCCGGAGTAGCTGGGACTACAGGCGCCCGCCCCCACGCCCGACTATTTTTTTGTATTTTTAGTAGAGACGGGGTTTCACCGTGTTATCCAGGATGGTCTCGATCTCCTGACCTCGTGATCTGCTCGCCTCCGCCTCCCAAAGTGCTGGGATTACAGGCGTGAGCCACCGCGCCCGGCCAAAGAAAGGTTTTCTAATTCCATCTTAGAAATTCTTTACTAATTTTCTTATAGTTGCTTTTATAAAATTAAAGCTGGTTAAAAATTTAATATAGTGTTTTATAAAATCTCAGTTTTATATTTTGATTGCAGGAACAAAAAAATAGAATGTCTTTATTGCCATCATTCAAAGTCAAGAAAAGAAGAATTTGTTCTGGTAGATGCAGTTTTGACAGCTAAAATAGTGGGTTTGGACACATGTCTCTAACTTAATTTGGTTTTCTGAGCAGTGTGTCTCCAGTTGGCAAAAGAATTGAAGAGTTTTTCTGAACATATGTTTATGTAGGATGTTAAACTTGTGATTGTGTGTAAAATAATGATATAGCCTTCAGTGAACTATTTCTTGACATTTATCCCAGCTGTGAGATGCATCAGTAGAAAAAAAAAGTCATATTTTAAAATATTTTCTTCACTGCAGAGCTAAATTTACTCAAATATTTTGGTCAGTTATAATCTAAAGTGAAATTTTTATTTTTCTAACTGAGAAATATTTGAAAATATAAATATAACAAACATAATTTGATGCTTGAGAGAATCTATGAAAGATTGAATAACTGAGATAGAAAATGTTTTAGATGTGAACTGATAACCTTTTTTAAAATATTGCAATAAAAAATGAATTCTGCAGTCCTTTCAGAGTTAACTGATTCAAAATTAAGCTTCAGGACACCAGATGGTCGCTAAGCAGCTTATAAGTTGCTGCATTCATAATTTTCAGCTTTTGTAACTCATTTTATTGTTAACAGAATTCCCTATTGGTTCTTAGAAACCAAAGACATTTGTTGGGGGCAAAAACACAAAACAGAAAATTATAAAATTAAATAATTACTGTAAGCATAAGCCTGCTTGAAGGTTACATTTGCTATACATGACTGATCAGTGAAGAAATTCAATTTATGTAGGGAATGAAAGTCATTTTAGAAAATTAATATTTAATATGTTAATACATATTTTAAATTAATAGTACCTATTGGAATGAAATGTTGATGGTATCCTTATAGCCTTCTTTTCCAGTAACCTTGTTCTTCTCCCCACCGTAAGTCTTCTCTTTTTTATTAGGGCAAGTCTCACTGTTTTGTTTTCAATTATACAACATAATTGTTGAGGCCTGTTAATAAAGAATGCATATTCCCACTCATGGTCTTTTCCTTCTGTGAATGAAGTTCAGTTAGCGTAGTGTCAGACTTGCTTCATCTCCTTCACATTGTAAGTTTACAGCGATCCCCCCAGGTCCTGTATTTCCTGTGACTAACTGATCCGTCTTTCTCATTTAAGAGTTTGCATCAGTAAGGCCTTCTGCCTGTATATATCAGTATCCAACAACTTGAACTTTTCTGGTAATAAAGATAATTATTTCAACCTTGCTTCTTATCCTAGTTTTGTTTTTCAATCTCTTCGTAACTAGGTAGCGAAGAGGAGTGTTATTTTGGGTATTCCATTTGGAGAATCTAACACATATCAACTCTTTAACAGCTATTTTGCTAAATATAGGGAATATAAACCTGAATAAGACACAATGTGCTAACAGAGGGGTGAAACCAACAGAAATATAAACAGATGATTACAGATGTTGGCAAAACTTTGTATTAAATGTATTATTGTGAAAGAGAAGGCATGAAGGGCAATGGAAGAATGGATGAGAAGGATCTAACTCAGCTCCCTGAACTGTACACAGTCATGATGATCTTTTTAAAACACATAGATGATGTCTTCTCCTCTATTTACAATATTATGATCATTTCAGATTAAACTTAATATCTTGTGATACCATTTTTAGACCATGGTCTGGATCTGATCTTACTCTCCAGATTCATCAGCTCCCTAAACTGTTTGCCTCTGCTTAATCTCGTAGGACACAAATCAATAACACAGGCAATTTGGGAATTAGGAAAAGGACTGCTGAAGGAGGTAAACAAAAATAGGATTAGGTAAGAAATAGCATGGTGTATTCCAGGAAACTACTAGTAATATTTTTTTTTTCTGAAACATAAAATGTGAGGCAGATAGAGACAGGAGATGACAACTAGAAGACAGAACAAGGGGGGCCTGGTAGATCACACGGGCAAAGTAGAATTCCCTTTTTGTTTTCTAGTTTGCTTTCATGTCTTTTTTCAAAATGCTTCATTAAATTCTTCATTTTGTTGTTTCTGTGTAAGCACAACATTAGCATTTGCTAATGAGAGTATCATGGATTTTTTTAACATATGCCAACACAATTCTCATGTACAAATAAGATAATCTAGAATATCTATGTTTTTATTCAAAAATTTTCAAAATTGTCTTTGATATCAGGATGCTACACGGAGAGCAGAAACTTAAGATATCTTGAACTCACCAAACACCAAAGGAAATTTATAATCTCCTTGCCCAACCTGATTGGTTTCAGAGAATGCCACCATGACTCAAACTGCTTCTCAAGTGAGGAATCTGGGGATTACCCACTGACCCACTGACTCTATTTCCTAGAAAGTTATACATTTGGCCACATCTCCCTTCTTCACTTCCCCTAACTGTGTAGCATCTCTTTCTCTCTGATATCCTCGAAACGCATTTTCTACATTGCAGTTGTGGTGATCATTTTAAGACACAAATCTGATAATGTCACCTCTTCTATTTAAAATATTAGGATAATTTCAGATTAAACCTAATATGATGTGAAAGTATTTTTAGACTATGGTCTAGATCTTATCTTACTCTCCAGATTCACCCCCATCCAGTCTCTGCACAATAGCTGCTTTAGTCCATTCTTCCAAATACACATCTTTAGCTCCCTCTGCTTGGGAGATTCATCGTTTCCTTTCAGCCTAGTTGTTTTCTGTCTTTTAGATCTTGACACAAATGTCCCTTGATTTTGTTGATCTCCTTGACTGAAGTCACAGTCTCCTCTCACGGGTTTTATTTAAAGATGCCATGCATTTTGGGATAGCCTTGTGTCACACTGGCAATTTTGGATTCATTTATGTTAATATTTGATACAAATATACCTTCTCAAGTGGATTATAAGTTCCAGTAAAGCAGGTATCATGCCTGTTTTTGTTTGTTGCTGTTTATTATAATTTAGTATTACTATAATTTGGATCATCATCATTTATTTTGTGTGGTTTTGTTTATTCAGATGTGGGCAATACTAGGCCATAATTCTTTTTTTAACAGCTTTATTACAATGTAATTTATGTAGCATAAAATTTATCTACTTTTGATATGTAACTCAATGATTTCTAGTTTATTTACACAGTTGTGCGACTATCACCAGAATGTAATTTTAGAACATTTCCATTAATGCAAAAAGAAAATTCCTTCCATTTTACAGCCACTCTCCACTCCAACCACCAGCCCCGGCAGCCACTAATTCACTTTCTGTCACTATATTTGCATATTCTTGACATTTCATGTAAATAGTACCTTACAATATATGGCCTTTTTTGTCTGACTTTCTTCACTTAGCTTAATGTTTGTGAAGTCCATTCATATTGTCACATATATTAGTATTCCTTTAATTTTTGTTGCTGAATAATATTTCCTCATATGAATATACCACAATTTGTTTATCAATTTATTCATTGATGGACATTTAAATTGTTTCCAGTTTCAGCCATGGGGAATAGTACTGCTATGAACATGCAACATAATAGGCAAAATAACTTGAATGAATGGTTGGTAAAACTTCTGCAATAATTTTCTCATGTAAATATGAGAATATTATAATAATATAAAGATATCCAAAACCATTTGCAAACCTAAAATATAATACTGTAATATTCTAGAGTATAGAGAAAGTAATATACCTAAAAAGAAGGAAACTAAATAGAGTTGCTTGGATTTTGGATCTGACAGAATCCAAAAAATAAACCAAAACTAGATAACATTCAAAAAGAAAACAAAAATATTTAGCACTAATTCAAAGAGCAAACATGGTATAACACCAAGCAAAATCCAAATTCTGGTAGGATACAATTCTTCATATGGGAGAGATTGTCTATTATTTTTTGTATTAAAGAAACCAATAAGGTTAGAAAAAAATGTTCCTTTTGATTTCTCATATTATTTACTGGACAGATCTTTTGAATCAGTTTGAAGAGGAAACTTATGTTTTAAAAATCAAAGGGGGAATAAAATATACAGCATTTTCTCAATTCTATGGTGTTAATAAAGGCTTCACTAAATATATTGAAGAGAATGGAATAACGGAATCAAGGGCACCTATTTTAATGTAAAATTTCACAGGTGCTGTCTTGACTTAATTTTAAAGTCATGGCTAAAACCTCTCAATTCCCCTTCCCAGCAGTTTTCTAAGCCCCCACCTCTAATCAGTTCCCTTACCAGGCTTCCAGTCTCCAGGTAACTCTATGCATACACCCAGCCACTTCTATTATTGGGCTCCCACCTTCTGGGGTCAGGTACTAGACAACTAGAGACAGCTTCTATCCCCTGGCGCTCATGAAATTATTCAAATTAGCCAATCCACAGGGAGCCTGGGAATCCCAGCTAGCTCCACTCAGCTTGCATACAGAAGCTGCTTTCTCCAAGTTGTCCCTGGTGCACCTATTCCTGGGTGCAACTGTCAGTTTCTTTTCATGTTGAGCTGCAAATATCAAAGAGTTCTGCCTTTCATCTATCCAAGTGTGCTGTATCCTGCCATCAAAAGAATCTTTAAGTCTTATAAAACATTTAGTGTCATGAGCAGAAGGACATGACCATAACTACTGATGATTGGATAGCTCTTGGGTAGATTGTTTTTGGTTTACTAATTAAGTCCAGACTATGGCAAAAGCAGCGTGGGATAGAACTGCTGCCTGTTGATGAGCTTGTGCTGTAGCAGCTGGTGTTTGCTGCTGTGTCTGCTGGTGGTTGCCACATCTCTTTTTACCCGAATTTTCTTGGTATCTGCATATTCAAAATGAACAGTGCTAACTGACTAAACGCCAGTGTCCAGATACAACCTTAGATGAGGGCCCGCCTTAGAGCAATTGGAGCTATAGGCTACTTGAGCCACACTTTCTGAGCTTGGGGTTCCTCTGTGTTTCTGCTCACAGCTTGTATTTGGCAGAGGCCAATCCCAGGGACCTAACACTTCGTTGGTGTTTGAATTTATTATTATTGTAGGCAAAACCCTTGTTTCAGGCAACCCCGTAAGAAGGAAGGTGATGATTGGGCTCCCCCAAAGGAGAGAAATGGCACCTCAGTCTTGCAAGTGTTTTTCAGGTAGGATAAAAGCCTCAGTTGTTATCTTTGCTGCTGCACACCTCGCTGCTGTTGCTAGTAAACTTTGTGCTCCTGAGACCCCCCATGGATAATGTGAATCACACCCATGGAGGCCAGTGGCCTACTGCTTAATTCAAAGCAGGCAAAGGAATTAATACTTTCTTCCTGAATCCCCCAGAACACCAGCCTAAGTGACCTAATTATGCAAACAATGTGAAATCCCAAGCAAATTTGCATGAGCACTGAGATCTCTGCATATCAACATGCTAAAGGGATAATACCTAACTGATGGTAAGGAAACAACTGCTTTCTCTCAGAAGCAGGCAATACTAGCTCTACTGAGTATGACTCTCAATCCCTCAGAGGTGGACTGGGAGCCCTTGAAATGAGAGTGGCTGCCTTAAGAGTTTGTCCTCTTGCCACCCAGAAAGCCAGAAGGATGGACAACTGACCAGAAACTGAATTTAAACCCTGAAAGTTTAGTGGTTGTAAATAATTTTGTTCCTCCCATCTGAACAGTGCCTATGCATCTTGCCTTCCCTGGAAAATAAAATCCAAACTCATCACCCAGTCCCTTGGATATTTATAGACATCCAACTTACACATAGGTTTAAATGAACTAGTCTTTCATGCATTCATGATCGGTAACTGGTGGATTTACCATACACCTACTTCTATAGATCACATGACATACTGCACTTTCATCCAACTGATATCTTTCCTGGAGATGGAACATATTGGAAAATGAAAACTTCTTTCAAACTGGCATCTCCCTTGCATATAGATCACCTCCACATGGCAAGTGGCCATGTTTCCTCAACACATAGCACATAGATCCTAAAGGACAACTCTACACCTCTACATCCTCGCCTTAGGCACACAAAGATTACTGTCTTCTTCCACTTCATTCTTTAGTAATTTCTATTTACCTAAAGTGAGGTAAGTGAGGGACAGCTTTCCAATCGAAAGGTAATACCACAGGGCTCCCCTCTGGGACAGCCGACAAGGGTTCTCATCCCCTTTTCTTTGCCCTTCCACCACTCCCAAGCCACAAACCACATTGATGCATTCTGGGCTCTCTTGGTGTTGATCTTCCTATTTATACAAATGTTAATCATTCTTCCTCCATCTGGACCAATGTCATTAATGTCCTGTGTTCATATATATAATATTGGGACTCCCTACCACTCTGGGATTGCTGGAACAGCCGCGAGGAGCATCTTTCTAAATCAGCAATTAAAAATCATTGATGCTAATCTACAAGCTTCCAATTCTAGTATTCTATATTTCTAAAGTACAAAATATTAGACCTGCTTAATAAAGGCCAGAGAACCTGACACAAAGGGGTTATGACAATAGATTGGCCCTTGAGTATTTATTAATCAAGAAGGTGTTTGTAACATCACACCAAAACAAACATAACCCACATATTTAGTATACTCTATAATTCAACTAAAATATGACTGGAAGTCCCTGCCATGATTAATCTGTTATTCTGTTTGATATGAAACAAAAGACGGCATGCTACAAGCTGGCCTTCAGAAATTCCTCATGCTTCTACTAGGTTTCTTCCTTTCTACTGCCATCATAAAATGTTTTCTCCACTCTTTATGGCAACTCATGCTCTACTTTCTGGAATTCTCTTATACAATCAAGGCCACACAAATACCCCAAATAGTTGAGCTTGAAACTGATGTCTGGCTCAGGCCTATAATCTCAGCACTTTGGGAGGCTGAGGTGGGAGGACTGTTAAGCCCAAGAGTTCCAGACCAGCCTGGGCAACATGGCGAAACACCATCTCTATAAAAAATACAAAAATTAGCCAGGTTTGGTGGCATGACCCTGTAGTCCCAGCTACTTTGGAGGCTGAAGTGGGAGGATCACCTGAGCCTGGGAGGTTGAGGCTGCAGTGAGCTGCGATGGACCCACTGCACTCCAGCCTGAGCAACATAGTGAGATCCTGTCTAAAAACAAACAAAAACCGATCAAGACATCAAAAACATTAATTTTAATGTAATATTTCACAAGTGCTATTTTGACTGAGTCAAAACTCAGTGATAGTTAGAAACTCTCAGATCCCCTTCACAAGCAGTCTGCTAAGCCCCCATCTCTAATCACTGCCCTTATCAGACATCCACTCTCCAGGGAACTCTATGTATGCGCTGCAACCAGTCCACAGGGAGCCCAGGAAGCACAGTTAACCCGTTAACCCCACCCTTCTGGCCATGCATTAGCCACCTTGTACAGCTCCAGTTCACCATTACCCTGTCCCCGGGGAACCCACTGTGTGTCTTTGTATAGCACCCTCCTCTCCTCTGGAACTGGAAGCAACAAAGAGGCCCCCTCTTTCATGTATCCCTGTCAGAGTGTTGTGTCCTGCCATCAAAAGAATCTTTGAATCTTATAGAACATCCATTTCATGAGACTCTTAACTTTACACTCAACTCTTTATGAGAATATTAAAGTGACGTTTTATCTCATGTGTGAACTCATCCCAGTTGTAGATATTCTCTGTGTTTTATAATAGGATGCTTTAGGCTATCACTATACTTGTGCATGGAACATGGTAACCTTTCAATACATGTGAATTTCCTCTTTACATACTTTCCTACTTTGGCTTATTTATTACAAATAGACATTTATTTCTGAAGGAGAAAAAAATGGAAAGAAAAGGAAAAAACAAACACTGGGCCACATTAATTTGAGTTTAAAGCCACAACTTTGTGACAATGCTTTATTATTTCATATCCTGTAAGAAATTGAATTCCATAAAAGCCCAAACCTGTAAATGCAAAAAGATGTAGATGACTCAGAGAAGACACGAAAGTAAAGGAAACCTTTATTGTCTTTGTAGTATTTATCTTAACAATCTGTTCTTTTCTCACTTGTTATAATATTCACAATCTTTCATATGTGGGACAATATGTTGATTACAAAATTAAGTATTTTTTCTTTCTTTTCAAAATTTTGGATAAAGCTATTCTTATGTAATACAAACTATCTATCCATAACACCTTTAGTTTCCAGCATTTTACAGAAATATAACCAAATTAGCCTAGAATAGAATTTATTCATTAATCAATATTGTTTAATTTTTAGTACACTTTAGAATTACTTGAGATTTTCAGACAAATACCTAAGACTGGGCAGCACCTTCAAAATATGATTTAGTTGAGGTGGGTCTTAAACATTGGAGTATTTAAAAAATCCCTCTCATCTACCATTCTTGCTGTGGGGGATTGTAATGTGTATCCCTGGAGACCCCCTTTCCTAATGGTGCATTGGAAAGGCTTTGCCTTATAATCTATAAGGAAAAAATAGCCTTAATTTCATATACAACTTTTACTCCAATTACTAAGCATTTCCCATTCCTGGACTGAGTCACTAATACTGAATCATGTTAATAATAAACAATTAATTGGGCTGATATGGATTAAAAATAAAATGCTCCAGTTAGTTAAATCTGATTTAGCTATCACATAGTATACAACAGTCATTACATGGAATCAATATAATCTTTCTTGTGTTATAATTAGTAAGTTCAGCTTTTTATATCTGAAAAAAGAAATCATTCTATCTCCTCCCTTACCCTTTGATATTCTCTTGGATCTTCTTTCTGTTGAATCAATAAACATTGATGAAAAAATTGGAACTGCCATATGCTTTCTGACATGATATAAAGTTAAACGACTGCAGTCTCCAAAATGTAAAAATAGGATGCCATTCTGTTTTTATTCAAAGTATTAAAATCATCAGTGCATTACCAGTACACTGAGGCCTGTAGATTATTTTGTTATACTCATTTATTATTAAATCTTAACAGACAGTAATTCTGATGATGAATTGAAGAAATTGCTGTTTAACGAAGGAAACGTAACTGCTTATGTTTGAAATCCTGTAAGCCTGGTGTATTTGCCTACTCATAACTGTGGTATATGGAGCAGTTATGACTTTCATTTATGCAGAGCTTAGCCGAGTTATAGTATTCTTCAACGCATCCCAGTGACAACTCGTCAGCAATCTTAATGAATTTTTTTAAGTACATTATGGGTGAAGAACTTTGTATCTTTGAAGGATTAGCCAAAAAAGGTTGCTTTAGCATTTCAAAATTTGCAATTAAATTTAATGATATTAATTTCAGAATCCCATGGTTGTCAAGTGCTCCTTTCCCCCAATCATATTTATCTCAAATAATGAGACAGATTAATGATGTTAAAACAGTAGATCAGGTTATTAGAAGAAAAGATAGGTTTTCCAAAAAAAAAGTTGAAATACTTATTCATGTATAATTTCCACTTTATTAATGGTTCTTTTGGCAAACTTACAGTTGACTGTATATTAGCGTGTTTCTCAAATTGAATATTTTGAAATTATATAATAAATATTCCTTGTAAAACAGCATCTAAAATTATGTGATGGAAATGGAGGTTACCTCAATCCTATTTGTTTTTTTAAAGTAAGACCTTGTAATATGTATATGTAGTATAAAAAATATTTAGGAATTGTTAGTAGATCAATTATAATGGATACATTCACTTGTATTTTTACTTAGTCTCCAGAAGATGTCAAACAAGAAGGAAAAAACTTGGGCTCACAAGATCTTTTCAATTGAATATCTTGAATCTACATGCAGAAAATGTTAACTAGATTGTTTGGAGTAATATTATTACTATTATATGTAAGATAGTACAGTTTTTCAACATCCCTTAAAATCATATGATAATCTTTCAGTCAACATAAGATGATTTTTTTCTGATACTGACTTTTTGAAAATATGGCACTTCCTTTGACATGCTGAATCACAGTGTTTGGTTGAAATCGGAGGCACATTTTGCAGATGTATTTAACAGTATTAGTTATATTTTGAGCACAGCAAGCCAGTATTCCGAGGGGTTTTATATTTCTACTTTATAAGATAGAATTCATGTTTGAATTGAATTGATACCACTTGCCAAGTATGAATGCTAAATGATAATAAATGAAAGTCTTCTGAAGGTGACCTTATGTGAAAACTTAAATTTCAAAAATAGAAAGTAGGGATGAAAGTTTAATGTATTGATAAGATACTACTTGCTTCCCAAAAGGCTATATCTATATATCCCTTAAACATATATATATATACACACACACACATATATATATATTCTTATTTGCATTCAATTTTATAAAGCATATCCATTATAATTTTAATCACTAAAATTCAAGATGACATTGATAATAATAATTAGCATTTATTATCACCTTCATATATATGTAAAGAAATGACTAGCTGCTTTCATAGATTTATTTCAATCAAAGATATGAGTTAGCTATTTTAGTTATAAGGAAACAGTGAATTAGAGAAATTAAGCAAATTTTCCCTGGTTAGAGATAGAACATTGCTGAGCCAACAAACAAATATGGTTCTGTCCAAGGTCTGTGCTCTACCCAGTGACATTCCTCTAATAAGCGAATGTCAGAGTCTTGTGCTCCCAAACATAAACTAATATTAAAATATCTGGTGAAAATCTATAAAGCTTAAAACTGTGCTTCCTGCTTCAAGGAAGAGAAGAAACATTTAATTATACTTGCATGTAAGGATAAGAATGTCTTTACCTAAGGTACATATCTTCTAACGTTAATTGTAAGAAGCATTAGAAATGTAAATTTTGCACAAACGTATTCACTTATATAAATTCTAATAAATAAAAACCATAAAAGAATTCTGTATCAAGCGCTTCTTATTATCAGTATATTTCTGTGTATTGCCATTTTATGGGGAGGGAATCTTTTGCTTAAATCAATGCTTCATAAACACATAACAAAACAAAAAGATGCAGCATTTAAAATGTCTTACTCTCTACCAGGACTTTTGATTTCTACAAATTTCCATCATCTGAATGCACACAATATCCTGAAAGGTATCACATAGCCCTTAAAAATAGACCACCTATTTCTTTCACACATATAAGCAAGAATTTAAAGTTAGAAAGTGACTAACTGAAATCTGTGAGTCAAAAAAGATCTATCCTTCTTGAAAAAAAGAACCTTTCCTCACATAAATTTTTTGCTGACTAATAGGCTGCCAAAAGCAATTATGTGGGATGCTGTTTCTTCTGATGCCAAGAGATTGACAGCTGATATTAAAACATTTGGTGAGAGTTTTTATAATTGAACCATATTGGAGGAAGCTGAGAAACCTTATCCTCTACCAGCTTTATAGGGAGTGGTAATTCTGCTTAATCACTTACTTATGTTTACATGGTGAGAGTTGTGCGATATGTGTGTGATATGTGTGTGTGTACGTGGGTGTGTTAGTGAGAAGCTGCAGTTTATTGGTTCATCAGATTATGCTTATTTTTCCTGACTCAATAGCTTACAAAGCAAGCTAAGATGCTTCTGTGTTCAGATACTTCTATTTCTCTCTATTCATATGTACACACAGCTCTCTTGGGCATAAAATGTGAATTGTAAGTACCAGAACTAGGAAAGATGCCTTAGTCAGTGTTCAGCATGAACTAATGGATTAATTTAAATATATTTCAGTGGTATCTCTAGCTCTTCAGGACCTTCTCTGAGACCCATTTCTTGTACCCTACATGCTTCTGCAACAACATAGAGAATCAGTTATTTCTATGAGCAGTTCTCCATGTTCCAGGAGGGCTCTTTTTTCCGGCTAACGAAGTCTGCATGTCAGTGGAGTCTTCAGAATTGACTGGATTGTCACTTCAACTGTGAAAGCCATGCCGCCTTTCCTACATTAGAGAAGGGTAAACTGAAAGCATGAGCAGTATGTGGCACTCCTCCATGATCTCAGTGGCATTTTGTAACAAGTACATGTCTTGACATGAAATAAAGGATTAGGAAGGAAACGTTACCTGTAGTTCTGTGACCTATATTCTCCCTTTGCCAACATACCAAAACCAAAAAAAGCTGAGCACAGCAAATTCCCTTTTAAACATGCACTCCAGACCTCTTGGTAAACACTCTAATAATACTTATTAGTGAAACAGGTGAAATGGAGGCAATGGAAAAGTCTTTTCAGGAAAAGGTTTTACCAGGATATACCTGTGTAATAAACTTCAAGTTTATGAAATTGTGGGCATAGTTCACAAGAAAATGTCACATATGCTATGTAATAAGTAAGTGGGGTGCAAAAGAGAGATGCTCCACTTTTGACCTGACTTCATTCGTACCTGTATTAATCTGAGTTCTTGGGAGAAATAGAACCAATAGGATATGAATAAATAAGTAGATAGAGATTTATTGTAAGGAATTGGCTATTGTAGTTATGGAGGCTGAGAAGTCCCAAGATCTGCAGTTGGCAAACTAGAGACCCAGGAGAACCCAAGTCAAGAATCAACTGATGTCCCTGTCAAAGGCAGTAAGGCAGGAGGAATTCTCTCTTACTCACAAGAAAGTCAGCACATCTATTCTATTCAGGCCATCACATAATTGGATGAGACCTGCCCACATTAAGGAGGACCATCTTCTTTACTCAGTCTACCAGTTCAAACGGTAATCTCTTTCAGAACATCCTCCCAGAAACACCCAGAATAACGTTTGATCAAATATTTGAGCACCGCAGGGCCTCGTCAAGTTGACACATAAAATAATATTACAATATTCTTCAAGTGTCTTTTGCTGCCGCATGTATCACTTGCAACTGGGTAGATTAAATTTGGAAAAAAAGGCATCTTATTGTGAGTAGAAAGGAACAGGGAGCTTTGTTGATGATTTCAGATTACTACATGCTTTACCTCTGCCTTCTGGTTGCCAGTATCCAGTGCATTATTAATATAATTGAGTATGGGTTAAAATCTCTGATTCCTGAGAGTCTGACTTGGCAGTCTAACACTACATTATTTCTAAATAATTAGAAAATATTTTCAAAAGTTCATTCAACTGCACTGCATAAAATGACTCAATTTGTCCATATTTTAATAAAATGAATTTTTAAAGAAGCATAGCAGAAAGTTCATGGCAGAGAAATACAATTAAAATGTCATTGTGACTCCTTCCTACCCTAATTCTGCAAGTAAGTCTAAGGCTAGTCTGTATACCTGTTTCAATCATAAGAGCTTTTAAATTTCTTCCTTATTTTGCAACTGTGGGGACTGGACACCAGAGAAACTCCTACTACCTGAAAGGGTCTCTTTTGACTTAGGGCACATGACACTACTACTCACTTTCTAGACACTTTCTTATACCCTTCCTTTTCTCTAATTGTAAACTGTTCTGTCCCAGCTTTTAGAATTTTTTTTCTCTTTTAACCCTCTTCCTCAGAGGAGAGAGACAAAAAAAAATGGCTTTGCTTTTCTTTTTATTCTGAGAATGAGAGTCAAAGAAAAGAAAATAACACACATATATTTAAAGTAATCCATCAACAGACTAGAAATTCCTATGAGGTAGCAGTTTAGGATCAGAGGTGTAAAGAAAAAAAATAAAATGTAGATTTTGTGTTTTTGATAACGCTGAAGGAATAAAGGGATCTTTAGGATATCCAAGATTACATTCCAACACTTCTTGTATTGGGTTTAAATTATACCCAACAGCATTGTTAATCTCCCAAAGACATCTAACAACTTTCTCCTACCTTAGACATTTATTTAAGACAACAACAACAGCAGCAAAAACGTCTGACTATATTCAACGATCTTATAACTCAAACTCCTGCACAATCCCATAGCTGTGGGTTCTTCTCTCTTCAGTCAAGCAGGTTTTACACTTGATGGGCATGGGTCGCTCAAATGGAGACCAAAGGACAGAAAAAGACACAGACTTAAAAGAAGACTTTCTCCAAAAAGAAGACAATGGGTTGTAGCAGATAGGGAAACAGGGAACTCAGTAAGAAGAAATAGACCATTGAAAAAGGTCAGAGGAAATGTGTGCATGATTTCAAACCCAACTCAATTTAACAAATTAGAGCACGGTGTGAAAGTCTGGGGACAATGACTGTGTGTCTGTGACAGGTTGCTATCAGCTTAAAGGCTGATAGCACAGGTTCTGGAGACATGTGGCTTTCTTTTAAATTGTAGTTTAACCACCTATCAGCCGTGTAGCTTGGGCAAGTTACTTACCAGCTCTGTGCTTCAATTTCTTTATTCACATAATGGCAGTAGTAATATTTGTTTACTACTGCTGTGACAAATATTAAACATGTCAGTATTGGTAAACCAATACGAAATATTTAAGTATTAACTGATACTATGTTACTAATAATATATATATTAATATTTATATTAGTATTAATATATAATACTAATTAACATTAAAGCAATTCCTGGCACATTAGTGTTTGAAAACTAAATAAATTAACACAAAGGAATACAGCATTTTGCTATTAATGCACCTTTGTTCTTGGTCTTCTCAACTTCTCTGCCTTTTGGCTGAGAACTACCAGAACAAGGAGGACTTCTCTCTGTTATTACAAAGTGATTTCTGACAGTTCCTATCACCCAGATGAGGAAAGACACATGGGGAATTTGAGAATCTCCTACACAGTCAGGAAGACAACAATAGCATCTACCTCCCAAGCAAATAGGGAGGAAAGCTTCAAACAGAATTGCTGGCCAGGCACAGAGGCTCACGCCTGTAATCCCAGCATGCTGGGAGGCCGAGGTGGACGGATTATTTGAGGTCAGGAGTTCAAAACCAGCCTAGCCAATATGGTGAAACCCTGTGTCTACTAAAAATACAAAAAAAAAAAAAAAAATAGCCGGGCATGGTGGTGGGTGCCTGTAATCCCAGCTACTCGGGAGGTGGAGGTTGCAGTGAACTGAGATCACACCACTGCACTCCAGCCTGGGTGACAGAGGGAGACTCCATCTCAGAAAAAACAAACAAACAAACAAACAAAACAGAATTCCTTGCACAACGCATTTCTCCCAGATCAACACTGAAAGAATCCCAACAGGACTGAAGCACAAGCCTGTGCCAATGCTTAGAAATTTTAAAAATTACTTTAGAAGAAATAATTCCATGGAAAAACAGTTCATCTTGCTACAAAACCAAAAGGCACCTTGGAATTATTCATTTTGTCAATATTCAGGATGCCATTGCAACCTCATTTTCATGCTGATAAAACCTGCGATGTACTATGTAGACAAACAAAGGAGGTTTTATTTGAAAAATAATTCGAAGTATACCAGAATGGAAAGCAAGGAAGGTTACTGTTGAGGAAGAAACTATATATGGGTAAAACTAAAAGGGATTTGGTCTAATGGGGGAGGCAGTTCAGCAATAAGAGGCTGCATCATCTACAAAAAGCTTAAACACAATAATGTCCATTGAAAGTTGTCCTTTTTACCATCACAACGCACTAGCAATTCTAAACAATGTCAGTGATATAATACACCTCCCCAAAAGGCTTTTTGTCGTTCTAAATTATAAATAATTTAGACACACATGAACTGACCTGCACATATTTGCTTTGAGAATAAGCTCCTAATCATTTTGAATCAATTGGATTATTTTTGGGTGGAGCTTACGTCTCCACTTCTGTGCTAAGACACATTCCTATGTTTAAACATTAGATGTGAGATAAACAGTAGCATACTAATCCTAAAGAAGAAGAGACAGAACTTTAATTATTCGAATTCTGGTATTCTTGGCGCAAAAATGTCTCTGAGCCATACAGAGTTTTCTCTTTTTGGAAGCATTTCTTTATGCAACTCTCCATCCTTTTTATTTTCTCAAAATACACATTGACGTGGTTAAAATATTAATTCATTGCCTTCGTATTTTTATTTCATTTTAATTACTGGCTACACGCACATACATACACACATTTCAAGAAAAGAAAATGTCCTTTCTGCATTTCCTGTCTGGATAAAAGTATTACTATGTTTTTCCATGACTAGATTTCTAGGGCTACCATAACAAAATATCACAGACTGGATGGTATTTAACAACAGAAAATAATTTTCTCAAAGTTCTAGGGGCTAGAAGTCCAAGATCAAGGTGTCAGCAGGGTTTGGTTTCTTCTGGGGCCTCTCTCCTTGGCTTGCAGATGGCTACCTTCTGTTGGCATCCTCACATGGTCTTCCTTCTGTATGTGTCTGTGTTCTAATCACCTATTATAAGAACACTATTAAGATGAAATTAGGACCAATCTGACCTATGTGACTTCATTTTACATTAATTACCTCTTTAAAATACCTATCTTTAAATATAGTCACATTCTGAGATAAGAGGGGTTAAGACTTCAACATATGAATTTTGGGGGGGACATGATTCAGCACATAACAAAGGGGGTGTTCAAAAAAAGGTCTAACCCAGTTATGAAATATGGCAGGTATGCCACCAGTAGACTAGAAAGGAAACTTTCTTCAGCTTGCTCTTTCCTCAGAAATGATTTTCCTCAAAGCCAACATTCATTCTTTTAGTCAATTTGTTCTTACTATATTGTACCATGAGAATGCAAAATTATGTTTGTCTCAGTGGGGAGTCAGAGCAGTGGAGTTCCAGGCTACTTAAGCAGGTGAGCAATTGATCCCCCTGAGTGCAGGAAGTGTGATGGAGCAGCTGAGACTTTAGAGCCAGTCAGCATCTTCCTAGCTGTACAAGCTTGGGTGAACTAGATAATCCCTCTACGCCTCAGTTTCCTCACCAACAAAATGAAAATTCGTTCATTTAGCAAATATTTAGTAACAGTAAGCTATATGCTAGGCACTGTTCTAGGGTCTTGGGATATATCAATGTACTAAATGTGGATCCTTACTTCCTTACTCAAAAGGGATGCTAGGATGCCACTAAGCTGTAAGGCAAAAAGCAAAAGAGCAAGGTACAGGAAATGGAATGGAAGAGTGGCAACTTGAAATAGAATGGTCAGGTAAGGCTCATCTGAAAAGTGAAATTAGCAAATGGCCTGGTAAAATTTGCTTAAAATGTGAGCCAAAAATAAAAGTGGTCTACCCAACTAAATAAGAAGGCAAATATATGTTCTGTATCTTTTGCATGTTCCCGTGATCCTAATGGTGAAGAGAAGGAATATGTGCCAGTGACTATTAGTTAATTATTTGGAACTTGTCAAAAAATCCCAGAATAAAAAAATGATTAAACAGGTGGAGAACTAAAGCCTATCTGGAGGTTATTGTTTGGTTTATTTCCCAAAATGTTATGTTTAATAAATGTTGGCAGATGGAGAAATGAAATAAAAGAGAAGTGAGCTGCTCCCATAGTACATATATGTATTTATTATTATTTTAAAGAGTACCTGTTCATATATTCCGGTGTGGAAAGCATGTGCTAGATAAGAGAGAAGGCATACACACTCCAGCGATTATATATGCATGAGCCAAATATCAATTCACTATAACTTATAGTAAAAGAGCTCTGTAATTAGAAACAGATGAGAAAGGTGCTAAACTGTTTTAGGACTAATTCTTAGGTTCACTGAACTGAAAAGAAAAATACCATTTCAAACTAACAAATCTCTGCATTTTAAAAATAAAGCTTTGCTTTTTGATATGAATTATGTATTGCCTGAAGGACTTGATTTGGTATGTTATGCATTTGCTCCTTCCAGACATTTCCATAAGACCTTATCCAAATGAAAGATGGTAGGCTTTGCAAAGAAAAAAGTGAATAAGAAATAATCCACTAAATATTTCACAAGAGAAAGAGAAGTCTTCCTCTTGTATATTAATTATGGGAAAGCACATGTTATATTTTGAACTTTGAGCATTTTATCAACTAAGACTGAAATGTTTTTATTTAATAATTTGTATAAGTGTAACTAGGCATCAGAAATATCTATAACATTCATTGGACTCTAGCGAAAAAAAGAGGACTATCTATAACACACTTAATGTAAGAACTCTTTTCTGTCAGCAACAAATGACTGAAATAAAAACAATGATGACAGTAAATCAGAGTTTTTTAATTAATCACATAGACAGTTGTGTTTTTAAGTGTTTTAGTATTCAATTTAATTTTATTTATTATAATATAAATTATTTGGAGTTTCTAATAAATCCAATAACTATACAGGACAAAATCATAAATGTGTATATTTTAGATAAGTTATAGTTATATTTTAAATTCATAATATATTTAAAATTTCCCTGAAAGATCCTTTTTCATATCCTCTTTTTTCCCCATCCTGTTCCTTCTGCCTGCAGAAATCATTAATGTATACATTAGGTGGAAGAAATATCTTTGATTAAGTTAAAGAAAGTATATGTGTCTTATGTCATCTATCCTAAATATTCATGCATGTCTTGTTTTCTGGTAATTTTTAGAAGTATTGCTTTTTTACAAAATTTGGAACATTATTAGAACTGACTGGCTAGACTTCATAGCTGATAAATGACTATGTCATTTAGAAGCATACAGAGAAATAAATCAAATGATATATTCTGTTTGTCAATAGATTTGAACATGATATACAGGAAAAGGGCTCTGGCTCTCTACCTTTGCAATGGACAAGATTCTCCCTTCTTACCTATGTGCTGCAGGCTCCAATTCAGGAAAAAAGATCCTATTTCCATCTCTGAAAGGTTAACTACCACCTTTCAATGAGAAACGTGCCTCTGTCAAGAGAGTGCCAAGGAATGGCCTGAGTGCTGGTATCCACAGCTGTAGGGGGTTATGCAGAACCAGAAAAGACTGACCGGAGGGAGACTCTGAATGTAAATGGTCAGATTGTGTCTAGAAAATTCTATAGTTAGGTTGATTTTTTTGTTTTGGTTATGTTTAGAGAGTGTCCAGTGGTATTTACCAGTCAGCTACAATTCAGAGTTTACCGAGATGGCAATACCCAAAGCTCTGAAATGCCAAATCACTGGAATAGTGGGAATTTTGGAATATATTGCCTATACCCATCAAACAATAATGTCCTCTAGTCAACTGACCCACCTGTGGTCAAAATATTCATAAGTATGAGATGATATTTATCTCATTTATTATCTAAGTAGAATTTCACCATATAAAATGTCATTGGTGTGGATGTTGATAATGGAAGAGACTATGCGTGTGTGAGGGCAGCTGGTGCAGGGGAATCTGTATCTTTGACTCAATTTCCTCTGAACATAAACTGCTCTGAAAATATAAATGTATTAAAAAAGATAATTTCCCTCTGGTATCTTCAGTTGTTGTAATAAATGAACTCAAAAGTTATGATTATTCATATTATTCATCTAAATCCTTGCAAAAATGCTATTCTGTTTATTGTACGCCCTAAGATTCATATGCATGCATGTATATATGTGTATGCATGTGCATGTTCATGCACGTGTCTAGAAAAACTTCCCATTTCAAAAAAAATATTTAAGATCCCAAAGAAAAAGCCATTGAGAGGTAGCATGATGTAACTGCTACATTTGAAGTACTGGAAAAAATAGAATTTGGTTGAATTCCAGGTCTGCCTTTTGCTGATAACATAACCTTGAGGATATCTCTTAGCCTAAGCTGTACTTCACTGTAATGAAACCTGAGAATAACATGTGCCTCATGGAGCTGTCGTAAGGAATCAGTTGATTAATGTATATAAACTGCTTGTGTTCTGTTGCTGCTTCTTTTACCATTTCATCTCCCCTAAAGTTTTTTTCATAGTTCTTACATCCTTCTCATTTCTTCAAAGTGAGAATTCTACGCTCCAGCAATAGCAGAGATAGATGACACAAATGACATTCGTAAGCATTTCTTAAAAGGCCATTATGGGACCTATGTGTATGAGGGTGGGGGATGAGGAAAGGGATTTGGTGTAGAAGTGGGTTTGTATTGTATTTTCTATAGTGTTTGATTCTTTTTCTAAGAACAAGCATGCAACATATATTATTTGAGTAATTTTGAATAGATTCACATTTAGGGTAAAAATAAGATTTATTAAAATTACTTAAACTATCCTTTGAACAACTTGTAATAGAAATAAGATCACTAACAGAAAACATTATGAAATTTTCGAACTAAGTATTGAATTGTGCTTTGCTTTCCTGATAAGTTATGTATACATATTATACAAATGTAACTAAATTATGTTTGCAGTCTTCCTTATTCAGTTAAGATAATCAAAATATCTGCTGAGGCTAGTTTCGGTTCTGTGTTCCTTATTACTTACACATACTTTTGTGATTTGTTCATTGAGCAAATAACAGGTCTAGGGAAGGTCTTTATTAGGAAACAATGAAATGGCAAAACAATGAAATGAAACAGCGAAGTGGGAACTTGAAAAGTCATTTAAATTATCAGATATAAGTGAGTTCTTGTGGTATAATAGGATTGCCAGGTTTACACTATTAGGAGAGAGAGATCTTTTACTATTAACTCCTAGGTAGTGTATTTTTTAAAAACCTTCATTGAATGTTCTTGCTTCTCCCCTGACAAGAGCACTAAGCAAGATAAAAATCATTCTTTTTTCTTGAAATCTTCTGAAAGGAGCATGCCTGCAAATAGCATACAAATAAACTGAGGAACAAATAAAAAATTAGATGTCTGTGACAACTAAACAACAAAAACCGAAACACTAGTCATGCCTTTTGCGTACTTCCATTGAGTCAGATGCTATATTAAGTGCATTGCATAGCTTATTTTGAAAATAATATCACCTATAGAATGAAACTGCTTTTTTGGTATTATCCATTATTCATAAAGGAGGGAAATATAGCTTTGAGAAGTTTAGGCACATGCCTGAGGTTACATGACAAATAAGTGGCAAACCCAATACTAGAACCTAGGAGTGTCTGATGCCAAAATAAATAAATAAATAAATTTCCTAAATAATATAAATGTCATGTTTGAATTGATCCTGATGATTAAAAAAAAAGCTATAGAAAATCATTCCCTTGAACCAATAAATTACCAGAAATTTTCAATAAAAAATAGAACATAGATTATAGAACAAGGTTAAATAAATAGGAAATAGAATTAGATGCCAAAACCTTGGGTTATTTCACATTTAGGTTATATATTTTTAAATTATAATTAGTTGACAGTTAAATATTTAAACAAATATTGCAACAGTTATATAGAGCAGTCAATTTATTTTCAATATCATTGTACATCAGTAAATATTTAGCTTTTAATTTTTATTTGGATAAACTGTCAGACTGACAGCTGTCTACCTTACTTAAGTATTGCTGACAGTAGCGGCCCATCTAGAGAGGCCACTGACATGATGCCAGCTGCAATGGGGAAGACACCTCTGGGGCTGGCTGCCCACTCCACAGAGCTAGTGGGAGACCCACTCCCTTCTGAGTCAGCAGGGTGGGAACTTTGAGCTCCCCAGGTGCAGCTGCAGCTGCAAACTCAGGCATCCCTGTGCTCTTTAGGGCTGGCAGCAGGCAGGAGCGCCACCTTCCTGGGCACAGCTGCAGCCACCCAAGCCCTGGCTGGGGACCTGGGCATCTCTGCATTCTTGGGGGCCCAAGAAGGTCCCTTGCCCCCGCAGGCTCGGAGGTGTCTGCACTCGCTGCTGACCTCTCCCTACTCCCAGAGTCCACTCTGATCTCGGAGCAAGGTTGGGACAGAGCTCAGGCACTGTCACCACCCGGCTGGGTATGTGCATGCTTGGGGCAGGGCTGACATGCCAGCAGCCCCTTGCTGCTTGCCCCCATCCAGACTTTGGGCACTGACAAGCATGGGAGGGAAGCTGAGGGGGAGATGAGGGCAACTCGGTGCTGGCCTGCAGGCACCCCGTGACATGAACAGCCTGGGTACCATGAAGGGTGGGAGGAGGCAGACAGGCGCCTAGGCAGAAGTGGGCGGGTCCTCAGTGAAGCCCCACCTTCAGGCTGGGAGGGCCTGAAGCCTGGGGTTCAGGCTGCGGATTGCACGACCAGAGTGGAAGCTTATGGTGCTTTTTCCAGGCCCGCCCATGGCTGCCCATGGACCAATTGGCATGTGCTTCCTTCCCTCTGAGGCCCATAGAAGCCCTGGACTCAATCTGACTCAAGGAGATGATGGGACTACAAGCTGCGGAAAGGAGCTACCCACTCCAAGGTCTCTGCTGAGAGCTGAACACTCATCAAGACACCCTGCCTGCAGGGAGGAGTTACCCAATGCAGGTCTCCTCTGAGCTGTTCCATTGCTCAATAAAACTCCTCTTTGCCTTGCTCACCCTCCACTTGTCCGTCTACCTCATTCTTCCTGGACACAGGACAAGAACTCGGGACCTGCAAAAGGGCTGTAACACAAACAGGGCTGAAACACATCCCTTGCTCGCCATATTGTAGGTGACAAGAAGGAGAGACAAGAGAAGGAGAGAAGAGCTGCAGCCCTTCTGGGAGCCCAGGCCTAGGAGATCCCTGAGCCAGGGCTATGACACCCTCTTTGGGGCTCTATGGTTCCTGGTGTCTCCAAGCTTCCGGATGCCACTGCATTCCTCAGTGCCAGCCGTGGAAGCTGCTGTGGTACATTTGGTCCAGCCACAGCCTTGCAGGGAGCTGGCTCCCATGCTGGTGCCTATAGCTCCCCGCCCCACCACAGCCAGCTTGCCTGGCCATGCACAGTGGCCAGACCTCATGCTCACTCATGCACCCTTCGCCACTCCGCACCTGGCCCGCCCTTGGCAGGTATGGGATTCAGGGATCCAGCCCCAGCCGATTGCAGCCTGCCAGGCCGAGTGGGTGGAATGAGACCTGTGGGCCCAAGCAAAACTCAGGCAAAGGCACCACTGGCCACATAGGTTTCCAGCTGGTGAAGTGACACCCTGAGAATCCCATGACATTATCATACACTCTTCTTAAAAACTGAACCCGAGGGAAAAAATGATACCCTTGAACGGTGAGGCATAATGAAAGTTTATTTAATGATTCTTGTATTTATTACTACTGCTTTACTGCCTGTAGCAGGTATCACAATGTACCGATTTATTAGGCTGTAGTTAGAAAACAATTGCTTCTTTACACATTATAAATGTAACCTGGCATTATATTTAAGCTAAGAACATGCATGTTTTTAATACTCGAATTTCAACTCAAGAGAAAAAAAAGTTCTATGTTACACTAGTGTGATGGATTTTTTAATTACTAAATGCTAATATTAAGGGTAATTTGAGGTAAAACAAAAAATAAAAAGTTCATGTAGTAATCAAAGCATCTACTCTAGGTTGTTAAAAATAAAAATATCTTGGTAATTATTTTATTATTCTTTAACACTAAAGAGGTTTACCTCAGGTTTTTAAATAAAACCTTCAACAGAAATATTAGCAATGTGAGTATCAGAGCACTGGCAAAGAAAAAAGCAAAAGCCGATGGCATTTTTCAGACCATATTACCAGTAGCTATGTTACTGTATAAATTATATGATAACATATTTTGCTATTAATGTCCCAAATACAAATACATGTTTGCATATATAAATGCAGGCCCATAGAGATATGAAAGGAAAGATAAAGTGTTTTTACTGTAAGATTTTATAGTAAGTATGCAAATAATGATTTCATGCCATGAAACATAACTAATGTACGAAGAAATCAGGCAGAAATGCAAAAGAAAAAAATGTCTGGGTGAATTCTACAAAAGTCAACAGAAATAATAAAAAACCCTAACATTTGAATATTGGCGACAGCAGGTAAAAATATGAATTGCTGAGGATAAGAGGCATCATATCTGAGGTCACATAATCAAGAGTTCAGAACTAGTGGAAGGTATGGTTGGAGTCCAAAGAATCTGGGAACTAGCAAGGGAAAGAGAGTAGTAATCCTAGAGGCAAATCCTTAAGAAACAAACCCTTAGCTACACCACTGTAGACCAGCATGGAGTTCACGTGGGTAGAGGTGACTTCAAACACTCGAGTCAAAAGAGGATAGACACAATTAGAACCTGGTGGGGTGGAAGGTGGGAGTGAACGAGGTGGGTGGGTGGCTGGCTGGGTGAAAGGAAAAAAATCACTTCTAGTTGCAGTGCTTCCTGCATGGTGGGTGTAATCTGAGTTGCTGCTTGAAAGGCCACTTTAGAGGGAAATAGCACAGAGCACAGCCAGCAGATCAAGGAGTGGCCAGGGCAAGGATAGCAATGTGCTATCTGTACATGTGTCAGAATAATACTGTTGTCTGGTTAAGGCTTAGCATGTACTGTAAGGGATTTTGGACTCTAAGGCTAAAATTGTGGCTTGTAACTAACTTGTACGAAGATTCTTTCTACAAATATCTCTTCAAATGTATTGTTAATAAGTGTGTAATTTAACGGAGTGCAATGCTGGAGGTTACAGACAAACTAATTTGGTAATGGTATTGAATCAGTGGCTCTGTCATTTTACTCAAATTACATTAGGCAGCTAAAATTGGATACACACATTTTCTCTTCAAATTGACACTTTAGCAAAGCCCAGAATTAGACATTACTTAGTGTCATGACTTGAATCGTTTACTATAACTTTTTCTTACATTTTGAAAATGATTTATTATATATTCTTAACTTTTCTTACAGATTCAGAGACATTGGAGAAATTAGAGAGACTTATCTATTTCAGATCACTAATTTTACATGTAAAAAGAGTGGATTTATCAGAGAGAAAATGAAGTGAACTGCCAAAGTAACAGAACTAACTAATAAAAGAGGCAAGAAACTAACCAAAGAAACAGGTCTCCAGAATTCCAGTCCTACACTCTCTTTGCATGGATATTAGGAGAAAATAAAGCAATGATGAATGAATCTGCAGTTCATTGCTTTAGACAAGCTTTGGACAAATATATGTTTGAGGAAAGGAATGAAAAACAGGGAACAGGCAGTGAGTGTGATGCTATGATGTATATCTTGCTTATGCTTTGAGTTTCAAAATCTAACCAGGTTCTGAATTATTTTCCTTTTGAAACAAGTGACTAAAATGGCAGTCAATTTGTTTTCTAAGATTGCTTATTTATGTCCCTTGACCAGAAATTTTGAATCCAAGATCCAAGGCCCAGATTGTGCCAATAGCTTCTTTTGGGTCTTGACCCTGGGAGAATTGATGAGGCACTGCTGACTTCACAGTGTTGGCCACAGTCTTCAGTTTGATGGGCCCATGTGGGTGGTTAGGGAGAATTTATTTTCTATAAACTATTCACCCTATTTGGATGTACCAGCTGATTTTGGAAAGCCATCTCCAACCCCTTGGAATCTCAAATTCTTCATATACTATACCTATGTTTTTATAGCTATCTCAAGAACCTCTTCATTAACAAGAGGGCTAATTCACATAAAAAGTTTTGCAAATAGGAAAAAAAACCTATAAAGATGTATTTTTATTTAACATTTTATATAGTCCTAATTATTGTTAGTGTCTTATTGTGTTTTTAACATCATAAAACATGAAAAATATATGTTTTACCTATTAAACATACTTCTAATAATTAATAAACTTATGTAAGGATTCCATGAGGAATTTAAAATATTTATCATAAAAATATAGAATTTGTTTTGAGAACTTTAAAGCTGATTGACATGAACAAATATTTATCTTTTAAATGGACTCTAATAAAGTTAAAATATATTTAATCCACACCTCCAGTAAGGCACCTTGCCAGGCACTGTGGCATTATCAAGAGAAGGAAACGTAGTACATTTCTTCAAGAAGCACTTGAAGACAGAAAGATCAGTGCATAATGGTGCAAAGGGCTGTGCCCAAGCTACCTTCGGTATACTTGGGAGAACAAGCAAGAAGTACATATTTTCATAAAGTAATCTAATGGATTGTAGCATTTAAGATAATGTCTAAAGACTTCTAAAGAAAATGAGGAACTCTGTGAGACTAGAAAAGCATTAATTCTTTAATGTAGCTGATAAACCAAAGACCTCTTTCCTACCTTATGTATTCCCTCACAATGAATTCCTAATCAGCCTATTCCTAGTAATGCTTGTGTGGTACATATTTTCTTTTTTGCCAGTCACACACTGCTCCCAGTTGAGCTACTTGCTTGTCATAGCACAACTTAAATACAATTAAGCTAGTTGCTTGTCATAGCACAACTAGTTCAGGTCTAACTAGTATATTGCTTAGCACCGTTATTTTAGACAGATTTTAGCAAAAGGGTGTTATGCCTGTAAATGCATTATTGTGCTTAAATTAGATTCTCCTTTCAGCAAATCAATGGGATAGATTTTGTGGCAAAACTTCTTTTCCGCTCTCTGCCATAAAATTGTTTAAGATGAAATATTATTTAATAGGTGTTCCTGTAGAACAGTTGGCAATTGACATAAAGCAGCAACACTAACCTGGTATATACGCTCTCTGTGTTGTAAAGGTTCAGTATTTTTTCAAATTACATTTGACTTGGGCTCAAATGTGATACATTATTCAGGTGGTATAACCACCCAGTGTAGAGTACGAAGATAATTCGTTTAGAGTATTTGAAAAGTTGCCTCTGTAAAAATTATTTCTTTTTCAGGAAGTTCTTGCTTTCTTTAGCTGTAACATGGAAAATGTGGGAGGTGAAGATGCCCAAAATGATTCATTTGTTTGGCAGAAGAAATAATGACCTCACAATCTGTGCTCTTTGAAAATGATTATGCCACCTTTTTTTTTCTAAAATAAACTTATCTGCAAGAAGATAATTGAAATACTTTGTAGCTATATTTTGATTGGCCCACCACAAGACACTCATCTGTTAAAAGTAAAAGATGCATTTGTGTAACTGTTTTGATATTTTGCCAGTGGGAGGTACAGTTATAAACCCCTGCTGCACTATAGCGGAATCAAAAGACCCCATAGCATCATCAACAAGATCTTAATTTCTGCCTACATTGCCACCAAACAAAGAAAAAGGAAAGAGAAGAAAATCCAGGAAGGACTTAGAAATGAATAAAAGGAATTTAATTTCCTACTTGCAAATGTTGAAAGAGTATTAAACGTATCAATCAAAGCCAGGAATCTGGCATAGAATGCGCCTTTATTCTGTAGACTACTTATCACCCAGATAATAGGGTGATTGCTATGTTTTTACACTTGTTACCATCAGAAACATAGCAGTTCTTTTTGATGATAGTGATTTTTTTTTAAAAACCATGCATGTGTTTTGCCAGTGTGCCAAGAGCTCAGAAACAAGACTTCTGGCCAAACTTAATAGCTAGTTTAAGGTCTTTGGCAAGGATATTTCATGTAGGTTTTAAAACTTCAGACATTTTCTATAACTTAATCTGTCTGATATACTATGAGAGACTAACTATCCAATCAGAAAATGTAATTTATTTCAATCTCCTACGATGTGGTTGGTACTATCAACACAGAGGAAAAAATCTACAAGTATAAAGGAAAGATAAAATGGGAAAACAATTGGAAGCAAAGCAAAAAGTGAGATGAGCTCCAGGGTGTGAGGAGCTCAAACTGGGAGAAATAAAGAAAGGCAAAATACGAGTTAATATCTTAGGATTAAACCTGAACCAATAAGTCAAACACATTTTAGATCTGCTGCTCATATGCTAATGGAACCTTCACTGAACTTTGAAATGTATGCAGGATTACTTCAAAATTCCAAGTTTTTGGTAGAAATTCAGACAATAGATTTGAGTCTTCAGAAATAGATGAAATGGAAAGCCATGGACACAAAAAACTGTATAGAAAGAGTTTAGCTAGAAGAGAGATTCAACACTGAGCCCTGGGCTTCTCTGAAATATAGAAAAGTTGAGGAGGATGGAGAGGATCTAGCAAAATAAAACAAGAAGATGAAGCCAATAATAGAATAAAAGTTAAAAAAGAGTAATATGCTAAAGGATATATAAATACAAGATTTAAAAAATTAAATGTAATACACTCTGTTAAACGCTGCTTGACATATAGAGTGAAGAGATTGAAAATGACCATTGGATGTGGCAATAGAATAACAGATGACTTGGATAAGAGAAGTATCCATGGATGGTAAGTCTTATGGCCTTTGGCTAGAGAACAGAAAAAATACATAATAAAATAGGAAACACTGATAACTCTTTCAAGGTATTTCATTGTAAAGAGAAAATAAAATTAGGCAATGCCTGGAGCATTCTATGGTTATGGGATGATATTTAAGATGGAGATATAGCATGCCTGAATAGAGATGAGAATGAGCTAATTAAGGGCAAAAACTGTGGGAGAGAGTGTCTGAAAACTAGGCAAATATAATAACATTGAATGTGGCACTCTAGGACCCCTGGAGATTAGCAGCCGTACATTTTAAATGTAGGTCAATCAGCAGGGTCATGTGCATTTTTTTTTTTGGCAGAAGAAATGATGACCTCACAGTCTGTAAGGTCACAGATTGTGAACCTCTAGTCTGCAGTCAACATTGGTGAATGGTTGTGTGGAATCATGGGTTTGCAGATTTGTTTTCCTCCTGTCCTATTGACTCAACACTCTACAAAATAGTCTCAGTGAGAAACAGTTTATAAAAATTTCATTTTTCATTGTTTAATAGAATTTCCTGAAGATTATAAAAGAGCAAGATTATATATTTATATATTAGCAGGCTTTTATATACAATTACATATAATTTTATTTACATTTATATTTATATATGAAGCCAAAAGTCACCAAGATTTTGCTGGCAACAGTCTCAGTCTCCATGACTTTAGAGGCTACGACTATGAAGAAGATAATTTCCAAATATTTGAGAAGTTGCTGACTTATCTAGATGATTGCATTTATAAACTCAATACTCTTGCTTGAGTATTAGATAAACGAGATTTCAATACGTTTTTCAGAGATGATTTAATTAGCACATGTCATCTCCCAGCTCAGATATTTCTTCCGGAGTCACTTAGTCACTTACTCCAAAAATCTTTATTTTTTCTTTCTTTCTTTCCTTTTTTTTTTTTTTTTTCTTTTTTTGAGACGGAGTCTTGCTCTTTCGCCCAGACCGGACTGCAGTGGCGCTATCTCGGCTCACTGCAATCTCCGCCTCCCGGGTTCACGCCATTCTCCTGCCTCAACCTCCCGAGTAGCTGGGACTACAGGCGCCCGCCACCACGCCCGGCTAATTTTTTGTGTTTTTAGTAGAGACAGGGTTTCACCGTGTTAGCCAGGATGTTCTCGATCTCCTGACCTCGTGATCCACCCGCCTTGGCCTCCCGAAGTGCTGGGATTACAGGCATAAAAATCTTTATTTTTTCTACTGTGAACTTTCGCGTTTGTATGAGGTACTTATTTCAATCTTTCCCCATTTTAGAAGCAAGGGAAATCCCTATGACTATACCTAACTACTCCCTCTGTCTCTCTCCTTTCTGTATTCATGGCAGATAGAGATTACTTACACTTACACTCATACGCATAATGAATACCACAGCCAAATGATTCAGTGCTTTCCCTCAGTTCAAATCCCCTAAAATACCACATTCTGTCACCTCCTACTTTTCATCACCTCCTACCCTCTCCAGAATGCTTGGCCATCTGGGGCTTCCAGCCCATACGGAACACAACAGCCCATTATATTCAGGATGCTGCTTTCTGAAGGAATGTTTTGTTTTATAATCCTGTCATCATTTGCATTTTCTTTGTGGTTGAATTTTTCATATATTACAGATATTTGGCTCTCAATTTATGGCATTATTTAAATACAGAATTTGGGATAATTTGTTATTAATAAAAATACAGAAATCCCAAGGTTTCAGATAAATGCGAATGTTTGAAGAAGAAATAGACTACCAGCAAAATATAACTCGTTTGAATCGTGGCTAAGCAGGTAGTAAGTGCAATAGGAACATCCGTTTACAAAAGGTCAGGATATCTTATTGAACCTTATGTAAATTCGTGCTGCTCCTCTTTGAGAGATTAATTTAAAGATGCCACCTATTCATTCAGGTTTTCATTTTTGATGAGCTGCCACTTGTCTCTATTATTCTTGGGAATTCTTGTATTTTAAGTTATGAATAGGTAATAAACACACATTTGAAACATCAAAAAGTATTAAAATGTGCACAGTGAAAATTTTCCTTCTGCTATGGATTCAATGTTTGTGTCCCCCAACTAATTCATATGTTGAGATACTGATTCCCAATGTGATGATTGGAGCTGGGGCCTTAGGGTAATAAGTGGATTTGAATGAGATCATGGAGGGGAACCCTCCTGATGGGATCAGTGCCCTTTTATGAAGATAATGTGAAGCTCTCTTTCTCTCCGTCACGTGAAGATACGATGAGAAGATGGTTGTCTACAAAACAGGAAGAAAGCCCTCACCAAATACAGAATCTTCTGGCACCTTGATTTTTGACTTTCAGCATCCAAAACTGTGAGAAATAAGCCACTTAGTTTATTGTATTCTGTTATAGCAACATAAACTAAGATACCTTCCCACACAATCTGCTTAGCACCTCCAACCAACACGTTAACTATTTTACTAGTTTGTTTGTTTTTACAGTCAGCGATTTTTTTCTGTGTGTATAAGCTAGTACAGATATATATTCTGTCTTCTCCTTCCTTTTACACAAAAGGGTAGCATACTGCATGCATTTTTCTGTTTTTTTGATCTGTTTTGTTTTTGTTTTTTACTTAACATATCTGGCACATTTTTTCCTATTAAGACAGAAACAGAATTTTATTCCTTTACTTGTGACCAATTATCTCATTGTACAAAAGCATCATATGTCTCTTAACTAGCACTAACTTTTTGATGTTACAAATGATGCTGCAAAAAAAAAACTTGTGCATAAGCTGTTTTGCATATGCCGTAGTGCATATGAACAAGAAACTCAAAGATTTGCTGTCACAAAGATGTATGCATATTAAATTTTATGGAGATTATAAAGTCACAATAATGTATGAGAATGCCAGCCCCTCCGCTGCCCCTATTGTGAGGACCTCCTTATTGCAAAACTGGAGTTATGTAGTGAACAGCCATTCGCAAAATCTATGCTATGAATGAGTCCCCTGGAAGGGGGCAGTCAGTTGGTTCTGCCCACAACTTTACCAATATTAAGGTGCTAAGTTATTAAGCTTCTAGGTTTTTGTCTATCTGATAGATTAAAAGAAATATCATTGTAGTTTTGATTTGTGTTTCTCTTACAATGAGTGAGAATTTGCATCTCTTCTGTGCTTAAGGGCACACTTCCTTTTCTGTGATTGGTCTCTTATCTTTTGCCTGTTTTTTCTATTGGCTGTTGTATTAGTCCATTTTCATGCTGCTGATAATGACATACCTGAGACTGGGAAGAAAAAGAGGTTTAATTGGACTTACAATTCCACATGGCTGGGGATGCCTCAGAATCACGGCAGGAGGCAAAAGACACTTCTTACATGGCATCGGTAAGAGAAAATGGAGAAGATTCAAAGTGGAACCCCCTGATAAACCATCAGATCTCATGAGACCTATTCACTACCATGAGAAGAGTATGAGGAAAACTGCCCCCATGATTCAAATTATCTCCCACCATGTCCCTCCCACAACATATGGGAATTATAGCATATAATTCAAGACGAGATTTGGGTGGGGACAGAGAGCTAAACAGTATCAGCTTTCTTATCTAATTGTAGGTTTTCTTTATATATTAGGGAGTCCTTGTATGCGATATTAGTTATTGATATTTTCCATTTGGTCCTTGTCTTTGGACTGTGTTTTTTGTCTTTTGTCATCTAGTAGTTTCTGGTGTTTATGTCATTAAATTTGTCAGTCTTTTTTATGGCTTCTGAATATTTTTGTCAAACGTATAAAGGATTTCCACTCTCTGAGTTTATGAAGGAAATCTCCCATATTTCTTCTCTACTTTATGGTTTCTTATATTTAAATCATTACCACATTTTGAATTCATCTTTGTCCAAGTATGAACACAGCTTTTTCCCCCAGATCTCGACACATTTGTTAAATGGGAATCTTTCGACTTCAGATTTACTTAACGTAAGTATTATAGTCACTTTCTGAATATTTTGTTATATTGTATTACTCTGTCTCTAAACATTTTTATAACTTAAATTTATATAGCATATTAAATATGTTTTAAAAAGTCCCTGTTATTGGTTTTCTCTGCCAGAATTTTTGTTTTAAATACATATAATTGTTATTTACCAACTGTAACTAATAAAGATTTAAAAAGAAGAATTAGTATTAATTCTTCTTCAAATGTTTTATAGAATTCACCCCTGAAGCCATCTGCTCCTGGGCTTTTCTTTTTTGGGAGAGTTTTGATTACTGATTCACTTACCTTTTGGCTTCTTGGTGTGTTAAGATTTTCTATTTCTTCATGATTCAGTTTTGGTATGTTGTATTTTTAAGAATGTATTCATTTTTTCCAGGTTATTCAGTGTACCGCTGTATAATTAATTGTTCATAGAAGTCTCATATGATTCTTTTTATTTCTTTGGCATTAGTTGTTATATATTCTCTTTCTATTCTAATTTCATTTATTTGAAGCTTATCTTTCTTCCCCCTTTAGTCTAGCTAAAGGTTTATCCATGTTGTTAAACTTCTCAAAAAATAAACTATTTCACTAATCTTTTTGTTGTTCTATTCTGTTTTGTTTAGGTATGCTCTAATTTTTATTATCTTCTTCCTTCTGCTAACTTTGGGCTTAGTGTTATTTTTTTTCTAGATCCTTGAAAAGGAAATTTAGATTGTTCATTTGAGATCATTCTTTTTTAATGTAGGCATTTCTCTATATACTTCCCTCTTAAAATCACTTTGGCTGCATTCCATAAGTTCTGGAATATTCTACTTTTATTTTCATTTGGGAAATGGGATATTTGCTAAATTTTCATTTGGTTTTTCTTTGGCCCATTGGTTGTTCAAGACTGAGCTGTTTAATTACATATATTTGTGAATTTTCCAGTTTACTTCCATTATTGACTGCTATTTTATTCCATGTGGTTGTAAAATGTATCAGTATAATTTTAATCTTAAATTCTTAAGACGTTTTTGTGGCCTAACATGTGATCTATACTGGAGAATGTTCTATGTACACATGAGAAGACTGTATGTTCTGCTGTTGTTGCTTGGAATGTTCTATATATGCCTGTCAGGGCTGTTTGGTCTATAGGTCTGTGTGAGACACTGTTTCCTCATTACACTTTATTTTTGGATGTTCTAAAATTCAAAGTTGGATATTGAAGTATCTTACTATTATATTTCTGTCTATTTCTTCCTTCAGATCTGCCAATGTTTTCTTTCTATATATTTAGGTTCTCTGATGTTGGGTGCATATATATTTTTAATTGCTGTATCTTCCTGTTTAATTGACCATTTATCATTATCCAATGGCTTTGCCTCTTATTACACATTTTATATTTAGGGTATACATGTGCAGATTTGTTACATGGGTATAACGCACGATGCTGAGGTTTGGGCTTCTGATAGTCCTATTGCCCAAGTAGTGAACAAAGTACCCCACAGGTAGTTTTTCAACATTTACCCTCCTCCTTTCTTCTCCCTTTTTGGAATTCCCCAGTATTTATTGTTCCTATCTTTATGTCCATAATGTTTAGCTCCAATTTATAAGTGAGAACATGTCGTGTTTGGTTTTCTGTTTCTGTGTTAAGAATTTTGATTTTTTAAAAAAATTCTGTAGGAATTTGGTATTAATTTGTGTAGTTAATAAATAGCATATTTGTTGAGACCAGGATAAATTTATTAATGTACTTGGATAAGATTGCTGATTTTTTTTCATTTTTTCATTTGTTATAGTTATATTCAGGAAATTTTAGAGTTTTTAATATGGCTGTGCATGTTTCTCATTCTATGTTTCTACCCTTGTGGAGTTTTTTTTTCCCAATGCATTTTCTATTATTTTTAGTTTGTTTGACAATTATTGATTTCTCTAAGTTAATGTTATACTCTAGTATATACTGAATTACTGCGTATTGAGGATTTTTAGCTGATTCTCTTGCCTTTTCTCAGTATATAATCATATACTCTGCAAATAGTTATAGCATTATGTCCTCATTGTTAATTTTTATGATTTTAATTCTTTTTCTTATCTAATTGGGTAAGTTAATATTAGTATCTTAGACACTTAGGTAATAATAGTATCTTAGTACAGTGTTAAACAATAGAAGTTATAGGTGTTATTTCTTATTTCTGATTATAGAAAAATATTTTAAATATTTTACAACTAAATATAACATTAGTCTTAGTAAAAAAAAAAAACATTTAATACCACTGATAGAGTTTCCATTATCTTTTAAAATGATTTTAAAATAAGGAATAAATGTTGAATTTTGAAATTCTCAGAATATATAGAGATTATATTTTTCTTAGACTTAATAAAAATATTTTAGTTTTCGACTTATTACTTGCAACCTATTTTTCTGTCTTTCAGTGGGAACAAACTATTCTACAAAATCTGCTTTATTTATAGATATTCTCATTTTAAAACTTCTTATTCTTTTCTTAACCAGAATAACGTCAAAGCATGATTAAAGAGTCATGTCATAATGGAAATGTAATATGAATATATGTGAATGTGTGCTACTTCATTTATTTGTTATTTTTGTCTGTTTACTGACTTTTCTTCAAGTTCTGATTAATGCCTATTTTAAAATTCTAAACATACAGAAATGAAGAATTACAGTAGGGAAGCAGAAGAAATTCACTCATCAGAAGTGGGGAGGACATTTTCATGTTGTGCTCTAGTCCCGGGGCACGGGGTTCAGCAGCTGGTAGGACCAATAGTACATTTGGAAGGAAACATTCACGTTTACATTAATGTGACCTGTGAGCCTTAGGTTTCTGGTAAAGAACAGTCACCTTTACAGAGTATGAACATCTCTCAGAATCATAATGTAGTAAATAAACAGCGCTATTGTCATCATCAAATGGGTCTGTGGAGTGGAAAAAAGATATATTCTCTCACAACAGACTTTATAACGTAGGAAGACAAACATCTTAAAATAACCATGGCAGAGCAGTGGCAGGCAAAAAGCAAGGTTGGGAAATAGAAATGTAAATGGTGCTTTGTGTTCTCTGGGGCAGGTGCTGGAGACTGTTATACTTTTCTACCTCCCACCTCCACATCCTCCATTCCTGGGAGCTTAATTGCTTCACAAGCTCTCAATAGATACTGAATTAAATTGAATTGAATAAACCGTACCTGCATATACTTAGGATATTACTAGATTCCTGTTTGTTTCTTTGTCAAGTTTTTCAGGACAACAGATATCACACTCAAATATGAATACTTTAAGAATGATTTAATAAAAGAATCACATATAAAGGTATAATCAGAGTGTAAGGAAGTCACAAAAAGTATCATATTAGGCTGGTGCAAATGTAATTGTGGCTTTTGCCATTAAAAGTAATGCCAAAAACCGCAATTACTTTTGCACCAACCTAATACATTCGTGTTAGTCCATTTTGCACTGGTATAAAGGAATACCTGAAACTGGATAGTTTATTTTTTAAAAAAGAGGTGTATTTGGCTCACAGTTTTGCAGGCTGTACAATCATTGCACCAGCATCTGCTGGGCTTCTAATGAAACCTCAGGAAGCTTCCAATCATGGCAGAAAGCAAAGGGGAAGCCAGCATATCACATGGTGAGACAGGGAGCAAGAGAGAGGCAGGGAGGTGCCGGGCTCTTCAAACAGCAGCTCTTATGTGAACTCATTACCATGGAGAGGACACCAAACCATTCATAAGGGACCTGCTCCCATGACAAATACCACCCACTAGGCCCCACCTCCAACATTGGAGATTACATTTCAGTATGAGATTTGGAGGGGACAAACATCCAAATTATATCAACATCCACAGTGCTGGTAAGAGCAGAGTTGCTGCCACTGCAGGTGCAAATGGAAGGGGCAAACAGTGGTCATTGTACCTTGAAAGACAGAATCCTGTAAAGGAGATTGGTTTAATGAGGCAACCCCATCTGATGAACGCAGGTAGCCTGTGCATGAGGGAAGCCAGGGGAAAAACTACCCAACCTCACTCTTCCTCCTATCTTGTCTCTTGCTGGGCCACACCATGGCCAAACCCAGCTGGAAATGATAAATCAGGGGAGTTCCTTGTTTGGTTTATAGATCAGCCTCTAAGGTGGAGGAGAGGGCAGAAATTGAAAAATAGATCTAGAGGCATAACCAGAAGATATGCTCACAGTCTGCGTTCTCTGACTCTGTTTCAGACTTGGTAAACAAGAACTGGGAACATAATATAAATCATTATAACTATCAGCTATGGTACAACTGTTTTTTTTCTTCAGAAAGACAAAACCAAGGAATAACTGCAGTGACCGGAGTTGCATGTAATTTTACCTAATGTTAGTCAAGAAGTGGTTGGCAAAATAAAAGATACTACTTTCAAGAATACATTTTATAATTATTTTCCAAGTATAAAAAGTTGCATCATAAGTCCTTCTTATTTTAGGAAAGGACTATGAATTACTTATGATAATGTGGTTTAAGATGTTCAAGTAAGTATAAATGAAATATTCATAAGTTGGCTACTGTTAAAGATTTCACTGCAGGATTTTTTTCCCAAAAAGTTTTTCATTTTCTATCAAAATCTCTGGTTCACATCACTGTCAGTAGCCTGAAACATATAGCCAAAAATAAAAAAGTTAATCACCTTTAGACCCTCTCCAACCCTACTTCCACATATAATTCGGCAGAAACATATAATTGAAACTAAACTCTGTAAAAATGCTGTCTTTAGCATTTTCACGTATCTGTTACTGGAAATAACTCCTCCAATTGCCAACAGAAATAATATGCCTTATCAGGGAAATAGGGAGATAAGCTAGTGATATATTTGGTTATCCTTTTGGGCATTGTGATATATAAAAAGAATTCAAATTTCTCCTTTGAAGCTTGTTTCTAGTCCCTAGAAAATGTTATGTAAATTGAATCAATTTTAAATGTCAGTACTCTTTACAGTGTTCAAATGTGCTTCCTGAAATAAAAGAAGTACCTTTACTAAAAAATACTATAGTTTTTCAAGGATGGAAGCATAGTAACTTGAAAAAATATTTTATGATTAATTTGAAAAATTAGTAAAGAGGGGTTCTGGAAATACTAGAGAAACATAGAAGCATTAAAATTAAAGGTCTATTGCTACTTGATATTCACTCTGGGAACCAAGATAAAACCTGTCTCAACACTCTGTTGGTTTACACTGCTCCAGCCACACAGGGATCTATCAAGTTAGCTCCATTTGAGCTTCTCAGTGAGATCTGCAAAACAATTCAAGACTAATTTTCAAAAAAGGGCAATTATAGCTGTCAATCAAACATAAAATTAAAAATAGCAACCATTTAAATGTTTTTGTTTAATGCATTAGTTAAAGAAGGAATGAGACAGATGCCAATTCAAATGAGAATTTACCTACAGAGGTTTATATTGTCTACCAGACAAATTTCGCTTGCATTGCCAAGAAGAAACATCATCCGTGTTGCCATGGATAGGTAACACTTGTATGATAATTAGTTTTCTGCAACATAAATTCTACATCTTCAAAAAAGTTAAACAGCCTGGTCATGCAAAGACATTCAAATGTTCACAGCCCTAGAAGATTAGTTAATCCTGGGTGGATCCACTGGATACCACGGAGCATTCTACTGAAAGCACTCTCAGTTGTTTGTTTGTTTTCTTTCTTTCTTTTTTTCTTTCTTTCTCTCTTTCTTTCTTTCTTTCTTTCTTTCTTTCTTTCTTTTCTTTCTCTTTCTTTCCTTCCTTCCTTCCTTCCTTCTTTTTTTGTACGTTTCCAAGTCGTGGATGAGTTGTCCCAAAAACAAGGAGTAATGATGAAGTCAACCCCATCTAACAGATTTAGTTGCTAAGCCATACTCATATCTTTTTAGAATTAAAATTAGTTTTCTTTTAGAAAGTTCCCTGTTTTCTCTATTTTACATACTGTGTGCTGACAGCAGCCAAAAGAAAAGGCGATAGCTCACATTCTAGTGAAACCTTGGGTTTTGTGGCTCAGAGTCCAGTTGCTAATAGCTACTCTTTTTTTCAGTAAGTGAACTTCTGTATTGTTCAGATGGTTTCCTGCCCAGCTAATAAACTACATTTGTTTCAGCTGCTTTGCAGATCTGGGTAGTCAGTGTAATGTAAACAGTGCCAACTGCCTGAGAGCTGAAGAAAATTTCGTAAACATCAGTCTGATAAGCAAGAAAACATTTCTACCAGTAAACATTTCTACCAGTAAATATTTCTCTTTCTTCTACACAGAGTGTACACTTGATGGCTGGAACAAGAAGAAGGAGTATGGAACTATAGTAATTATGGTAAAGCAGTCATACCATCTTTAGACTATTTACCTCTGAATTTCATTAGAAGAAAAATAAGTCACTGTCTTATTTAGGGCAATGCTATTTTGCCACTGTGTTAGTATCAGTTGAATGCAGTCATTAACTGATCCATGACTACATTTCTACAAGGTTCTCTAAGTCAGCCACACTAAGTCATTTCATCATCACTTAAAAACCACTTTTTAGAATAGAAATTCTGCCTTATTCTAATGTAAACAATATTGGATTTAAAAATTAAACAGATGGGGCTGGTAATGACAGCTATTTGGAGCAGATACTGAATACAGCTTGGCTGTGTTACATTTGTAAATAAGTTTTCTCACTTTCTCACAGGCAAGTTGGCCAGTTTTCCATTTGTTACTGATTTAACCTTTGCTCCAAAGCAAAATTCTATGTTCTATACAGACAGTGTGCAAGAACAAAATCTTAACCAACAATTCTTCAATAAGCCCTTTTTAATAGGGTTTCTGGCTTGACTTAATTTATTCCCACTGTCTCCTTTTTTTTAACATTTAGTTGTGGAAAATTTCAAACATAAAGAAAATAGTATAAAGAACTATGATGTAATCATCTCACATCAACAAGTAACAATATTGCTCTATCTGTGGCCCTCTTTTCTTTCCCCCTCCCCTAAGTAATTTGGAAACAAATTCCAGATGTTTTATTTCATCCACATACCTGAGCATGTATCTTTAAAATGCAAATTCTCACTTTCTATTTTTTGACATAGCCATAGTTGCAAGTTTTCACCTAACAATTTAACAGGTCTTTAGTATTCCTTCACTCTCACTCTCTTTTCTTTTTTTCATCTTAGTTGTTTTAAAAACTAGTGGTTTTTCCTTCAGTTTCCCACGGACTGAAATTATTGATTAAATCAACTTGGCATGGTTTCGTATGTTACTTCTGTTACAGATTTTTCTTGTAAATTAGATCTGCAGTATTCGTCAGATCTAGGACTGATATTTTGCAAGACTACATTGTAGGCCGTTTTTTAAGTTCTGTGAGAAGGCATATGATGTCTGGGGGACTTTTTCTATGGTGTTAGCCTTGCTGATCAATTACATCATTAGATGCATTCTTTCATCAGAAGTAGAAAAACTGTGATATTCTAATTTTCTTATTATATTTTTATGTATAAGCTAGAATACATCTATAAAGAAAATATCCTCTTCCTGACATTTGGAAAATTTGAGGTATTATTCATAAAGGAGAGACAGAAAAAAAATGCTACATTCTTATTAATTATTTTTCAAAATAATGAGTTGACTACTTAGAAAAGAGATCAGAAAGCTTTTTTTGTGTAGGGAAAAAGAAATTTATTTTATTCCCATCTTATGTTCATGGCCGAGGCCTTTATAACACAAGAGATTAACTAGAGAAAAGCATGGAAAGTATTTAACAGAAGTTTTATGTGAGACAGATGTCTTCATAAGGAAATGAAGACCCGAACAAACAGCTAAACCTGTGTGTTTCTATACTAAGTTTTATGAAGAAGTGGGTAGATGCAGAGATGTATGATTGGACAAAAGGGGTATAATCTAATGATTAAAAACTCTGAGAACTTAACAGGGCTTTTTTGTTCCTATCCTTCTGTATCCCTGGGTCTTCAGAGATAAGGATATTCCTTACGTTTGGGTATAAGGTGGGCACTTCTCACATGGTCTGAAGATATAACTCAGATGACAAGGGCAGGGAAAGGTGATCTTTTACTTCTGCTGTTTTCTCAAATACCAAGATACTATATTTTGAGGTAGTATGTCCTGAATCCTATTACTTGCTAAGAGCCAATTGTAAATCTTTTAGGCTTTGTAAGCCATACAGCCTCTGTCACAGCTACTCAACTCTACTGATATAACCAGAATGCAACCATAGAAAATAATGTAAACAAGTTGGTGTATTGTGTTTCAGTAAAGCTTTTTTTTTACAGAATCAGAAAGCTAGACGGATTAGACTCACAGGTCATCGTTTCCAATCTGTGACTTAGAATATCTTGAAAATCACCAAGAGGTTTTTTAGTTTTTATATTGGCTTTTATTTAGTATTTTAGCAACTTGTTTCATTTAGTGTAAAAGTTGTTACAGTGTTTTGGGCTTCTTTTTTAAGAGACATTTTAGACCCAGTGCAAAATAGAGAGGAAGGTACAGAGATTTCCCATGCACCCCCTACTCCCACACATGCCCAGCCTCTCCCATTACCCACAGCCCCAACCAAGTGGTGATTCATTACAATCGATGAACCTATATTGACACATACCTGTCACCTAAAATTCACAGTTTGCATTAGCATTCACTCTTGGTGTTGTAATGATTTGTATTCATCAACATAGTACCATACAGCATATTTTCACTGCCCTCAAATTCCTCTCTCCTCTGCCTATTCCATTTTTAAGTTGTGCATCTGTCCCTCCTTTGGCCAATAGAAGTCTCTCTAGCTAGCTGCTGAATCCTTTGAAAACATCCTCAGGAGTCTGTGATAGCCTGATTTCTTGTAAGACAAATCATTCCAGAATTATCTTGTATATTTTCTGCCCCAGATTTAGAATCAGATATTTCTTCTAGTATCTTCGACTTCTGTTGTTTTTGTTTTGTAGAAAATGAAATTTAAACACCACAATCTAGACACCATGGATACTTATTATTATTGGCTAGTCCTTGTTTCTAGACTATTTTGTTGGACAGAGTTAAGGTGTCTGTGTTTTTTTTTTCAAGTCAAAGCCATTATGAGTTCAAGTACATCCTTGTACCTATATGTTTTCTTCAAATTCAGTCACTCAAGATTATTACATAGCCTCAGTTACTTTACATCTGTTTCTCCTTTTTTCCCACCACAAAAATGCCATTTGCCTGAGATCATAGACACAGATTTGAAGTTCTTTTCATGGTGCTTCAGTACCTTAGTGATGCAAAATTAAATTACTGTGTTTTATGCTCTTTTGTTTTAATTCTAGTTAAAACTTACAATGGCAGAAATTATCAACTATTCAATCAATAATCTATATTTTCTCTTATCTAACAGAACCTCAATTTTGTTGTGCCTACATGCCATGTTTCTAACTGAGTATAATTGAGCCTCAAACAGAATTGGGTTTCTATTAGTGAGAAAGAATAAGAAAATAGATGTTATGCAGTTAGTTAAATGGAGCCAGCCACACTTACTATGAACCACAGCTCTGCTTATTTCTCCAGCCTAGTGATTGACTTGGTTAACATCATTAATGACTGCCCTTCTGGCTTCCCATTGTTACTATTAATTTTTATTACTCTCATTTCATATTTATAAATAAATTATGTTACATCAAACACCACATTCCTCTCATCTACCCCTTACCTTTGCCAACACACACACATACACACACAAAAAATCTGCTTCTAATCATTATTAAATTCAAATATCCTAAAACATTATTGTCCTCTTATAATTTTTGTTGATAGTAGGAAAGTAGACAAATAGAAATACTTGTAAAAGTTTGTTTCATGATACATTTTTGTCAATAAATATTTCTACTTTTATCCATATTATCTAAGCTGTCTTTTCTTTTATATGGCTACTAAAAATTAAAGAAAACAATATTTAACAAGAGAAATTATCTGTCAAATCCTTGACTAAACATCATGAAGCATGGATGCAACACAATTTCTTTCTCAAAGGCCTTGCAATAAAATGTTGGAATCAGACAAGATTTGGAACTTACTCTATATTATCACCAGTGGCATTGACGAATGCGCAAACATTTAAATTGAAAGGAAACACAACCCTATAGCACACAGCAATTTAGAATGACAGATCTGAAGCTAGGCCCTCTGAATTTAAATCTGGATTCATTATTTTCTAGATGTGTTACCTTAGATTAATTATATCAGTAAAGTGGGTTTAATAATTTGAAGTATATATAGAGCTGTTAGGAGGATTAAATGTGTTAAGGTATATACATCATTTGACATGACATCTGGGATATTGGAATTACTCAATAAAGATTAGCAAAAGTATATTTTATTAACTACTTAAGAAAATGACATATATTGGATATGAGAGCAATATTGATTCTTTCATGATTATTTAAGACTAATAAAATAAAATAGAAATATTCTTCTATATATTACAATAGATTTTAAGATATATAGTCACATTTCTCCAATACAACTAATTGCTAATGATAGTCTTTTGGGTACCTGAATTATTTATTCTTGAAAAAACACAGATTTTTAGACAGCACTCTAATGAAAATAAGATGTTTTTCATCAGCTAAATCTATAGATAATATTTCAAGAAACTACTTTTTTATATAGGTACAATAAACTTGTAGTAATATTCTTTGCCAAACATAAGTAACAGCCTATCTATGAGAATCTGAGAAAATGTTTTATTATGATATTTTAGAAATAATAACATCAAAAACACTCTAATGGCCCTTTATCAAATCACTTTTGTGCTGTACCCGGCAAGATAAACTTGCATATGTATGTTTATTGCAGCACTGTTCACAATAGCAAAGACTTGGAACCAACTCAAATGCCCATCAATGACAGACTGGATAAAGAAAATGTGGGACATATACAACATGGAATACTATGCAGCCACAAAAAAGGATGAGTTCATGTCCCTTCCAGGGACATGGATGAAGCTGGAAACCATCATTCTCAGCAAACTAACACAAGAACAGAAAACCAAACACCACATGTTCTCACTCATAAGTGGGAGTTTAACAATAAGAACTCATGGACACAGCACCTGGGAGTGTGGTGGGCATCACACACTAGGGCCTATCGGGGGTTGGGGGGCTGGGGAAGGGATAGCATTAGGAGAAATACTTAATGTAGATGACAGATTGATGGGTATAGCAAACCGCCATGGCATGTGTATACCTATGTAACAAAACTGCATGTTCTGCACATGTACAGGTATCTTCTCACTCCAACCAACACAAATTCCAGCATACATGACTGACTTAAAATAGTATGAGAGCTATATTCTAGAAACTAGACTGAAGTTCCAGTTTAGGAATAGATATTTGGCCACCAAAGAATTGTGACATTATTCGGTTAGAAATTTGGATTGGGATTAGGAAAGACTGAGCTAGCAAACTGAACCAAAAATTAAAATAAACCCTGCACTACGTGCTGATGAGTAAGTTTAGTAATCTGAGGCATAGAGTTCTGCAAGGAGAAGACAAGACTCTATTTACTAACATTTACAATTCTTACTATGTTCCTGTAGCATATTTTTTGATTGACTTATTCAACATTTAGTCTGAACACCACATACTCCTTTGTCTTTCTCTCCAATAGGATCTATAGAACTAAAATATTTATTGCTCAGTCTCTCTATAACTAGGATAGACATTTAAATCTGTTTATGGTCATGAGATATAAACTTTAGCCCCCTATAGAGATTTCCTTGTGTTGCTTGGCTTCCTCTCTTCTTTCTGTATATAGATGTTTTCATGCGCGTCCCTGTGAAGAGACCACCGAACAGGATTTGTGTGAGCAACAAGGCTGTTATTTCACCTGGGTGCAGGCAGGCTGAGTCCGAAAAGAGAGTCAGCGAAGGGAGAAAGGGGTGGGGCCGTTTTATAAGATTTGGGTAGGTAAAGGAAAATTACAGTCAAAGGGGGTTGCCCTCGGCGGGCAGGGGCAGGGGTGGGGGGTCACAAGGTGCTCAGCAGGGGAGCTTTTGAGCCAGGATGAGCCAGGAGAAGGAATTTCACAAGATAATGTCATCAGTTAGGGCAGGAACAGGCCATTTTCACTTCTTTTGTGGTGGAATGTCATCGGTTAAGGCAGGAACTGGCCATCTGCCTGTGTACCTGCAGGTCACAGGGGATATGATGGCTTAGCTTGGGCTCAGAGGCCTGACAGACATGCATACTGATATCAGTGTTCATGTTAGAATGACAATAACAGAAGTCACATTCAAAGAATGGTAAAGCTAGATAAAGAAAGGTTCTTGGATAACAACATTGCCTATCTTTGACTATTTATTGAGCAAATTAAATCAATCAGGTTCTCAGTTATTTCCAGTGCTAACTTACATGGATCTAAGCGCTTTATTTGTTTGAATTCTATTAACTCATGAATTTTCCTAACTACCATAACTTGGTAGGAGTTATTGTTTTCTCCATTTCACAAAGAAATTTAGGCTTAAATAATTACCTGACTGTATCAAAGTCTCGATCAAAGTCACATTTCTCATATGTATTAAGGCAAGGATTTGAGCCCACATGGTCTGATTCCAGAATCTTCATTCTAACCTACCATTATCCCATGCTTCTATTTACAATAAAAATCTCAGGAAGAATACAGGAACAAGCAGAGATTAGGATCTTCTGTGAAACCAAACAAAGTAGTCTTAATTCCAAATTTCGTGAAGCTCATTAAAGCGTGTTTGCTTGTTTTGGTGTTTTGGATACACAAGATATTTATCTTAATGTATCCTGTATGTTTTCTTTAGCTGCAAAATAAGTGTATAGATACTGAGCATTGTATTAAATGAGATAATATATGTAAGTTAGCTAAAATAGGACATGTCATGCTGCTTTCCAAAGTAACATAGTTCCAATGGAATTCTATTCAAATCTCAGTGAAATCTAATATTTTATGATAGATCAAAAAGCAAATGATTTTTAATCCATTAAAGCTTTGAAAGTCTCACAGATGCAGAGATTGCAATTCTGGCTTTGCTGTAGGGTAACTACTGGCCAAACGAAGGTACTTTGAATCCCCAGCTTATCCTCCAAATTTAACTTTAAATTAAAGATCTACCATATTAGCCTTGAATTAGTGTTAGCAAAATAAAGTCCCAATGAATAGAATCCTATCCAAAAGAATCTGATTATTTTTTAGTTGTCTCTGTGCCAGTTTAGAACATGAGGAAATGACTTCAGCTGTGTTAAAGTAGACAGAGATGCAATTAGCAACAGCAATATTTTAGAGCCATTGACTCTATCCAGTATGTCAAACACTGGAAAATCATTTGCTTGGTGTGGGTTGGTTGAGAGCAATTAAAAATCAAGTAATTTTTCAGTGGTGCATGTGGGGTGTTTTTGTTGTTGTTCTTTTGAGTAGTAGTCAGCCATTTTAAAATCTCTTCAGCATGTTGAAATGCTAGACCAATTTACCATTTTATGACACTCGTGGGCTTCTACAATTAAGTTAAGGTCCCTGAACAAACTCTGACAAGATTATAGTATTTCCACTTGCCCTAGTTTTCCCTTACAGATTTTTTTCACTGACAATGCACATACTGCAAAGAAATCATCAATAGGTAATCAGTTTCAGGTTGACTTTCTGGACTAACATAAAACTACACCAAATCAATTATAATCTTAAAGGCCTATGGATAAGTTATTATTTCTCCAGTTAGGTAGTTTATAATTATTTATATTTGATTACCTTAAGAGCAAAATGTAATATAAAACACTAAGCAAATCATCTTCAAATTAAAGCAAAATAGTCAATATAGTAATTCAGTAATACCATGTTATGGCTCCTAATGGCTTATACAATTTTTGGTAATATGTTTACCACATAACAGCAAAGCCATGCAAATAGCAGTCATTTTTAAAAGGTATTTTCCAAGGAAATCAGCAATGAAGTCTACCATTTAACAAGCAGATGTTCAGAGCTCTGCTATCTATTACGTTAATAACCCCAACTGCAAAGCTTGATTTGCAAGTGGAATGCTTCTTACACCTGGTTGTCCCTTTTCCCTACAGAACTATCTTAAAAGCATTTTCCACATGGAAAGAATGTAAGGTAGCATATGGCTTTTTGAATCTCAATTACTTATAATTATGTTATTTTTAAAAAATCAAGATTATTGACTCTAAAATCAATAATTAAAGGCTACAAACATTGCAAGCAGTTAATATACAAAACTTAATTATTTTTAGGAGACTTCAAGTTAAGAAATATTGCATATGTACCAAACATCAATAGATTAGAAGTTTTAGCTATATGATGCATTTCTCCTAGGAAATCTTAAGTGGGGATTGTTAAAGAAAACTGGAATCTGACAGTAGTTAAAGTGGTAAAGACGGATTTTATTCGGAAATTACTGTAATAGAAGAAAATAGACCAGCACAGAGTTGGGCTACATTTCAAATACAGCATGCACAGGTGGGGATTTATAGCCAAAGAAGCGTGTTGGGGGTTGGTGTATAGAAAATTACTAACAGGAAACATCAGGCATAAGAAGACAACGGGTATGGGTAGAGGAGTTGCAGTGAACCTCCCTTGACTGCAGTCTTGCTGAAGGCAGATCAGGATGATGAGGTACCAAGGATGGGGGATGAAGATCAGGTCTTAAGGGTGCAGAATATTCACTAAACTAATTTTGCAGATTTTTCTCTAAAATTGAGCATTGCAAACATAGGCAAGGAAGTCCAAGGGTTGAGGCCTAGTTGATAAGAGGATTCAGAGGAGCCTGACAAAAGTTTGGTCAAAGACAGATTCTTTGTCAAAACCCAATATATAAAATAGATAAAAATATAGCTGTTTGAGTCAAAGCATAGGGACTAGTGATTAAACCATCTATTTTAGTTCCTATTCCTCTCTGGCAGGCTTTAAGATCTCTGACCAGAAATTCCAGATGTCTGTGTGTACAAGAAGTTTTGACATTTATTAATACTGCTGATTTGAAGTAACTCTTATTTTCAAATTATCTCTTCAGTTCTTACTGTATTGACTTGAAATTACTTAGGCTCTAGAAGCTCCAATTTTCTCAGCTGTGAAATGCAAATATTGTAGCTTACCACATGGGGTTTATAACATGATTAAATCAAATAATTCATCAAAATATCTGATAATATAACAGTTTAGATTGCTGGATTTTTATTAACATAATGACTTAAATATTAAGTCAGGAATTTACTGTAAATATGGGGACAGACATTACTCTATAAAATGGTTATTTCAAATACTTTTTCCAATAAGTTTGAATACATATTTGAATTAAAAAGTAAATTTGAGGAATGAAGAGAAAAATGGATACAGTTAGTTTTATCAAACACTAATAATCACTGAACTAAGTGTAATGGATGGAAAAGAGGCAGCATTAAAAACAATGCTTGTGGATAGGACCTTATACCATTGCTAGAGCCAGTGTGTTTATTACAAACTGTTTTCCTAATATAGATTTAAAATGGACTGTGCTTTCAAAGAGTTTATCCTCAAATGGGGAAACATTTTAAAAGACACAATGTCAGTTTAACCTCAAGAGCAAAATGTAATATAAAACACTTAGCAAATCATCTTCAAATTAAAGCAAAATAGTCAATATAGTAATTCAGTAATTCAGCAAGATAGAAAGTAATACAGTGTTAAAACATTTCGTAAGTACTTCCGTGGAGGAATTTTATAAAAGGTAATCAAATAATTTGTTAAAATACTGAATGAGATATCACTAGAGTCAAATTCTAAAGATTGAGTATGTCAATCAGGGTTCTTATGCAAAGAATGTAATCCTCTCTAGATTGTTCAAAAAGAAAGAGATTCATAATGAACCATTAAATGAAATTTAATCATAAACACAGCTGATGAAATGGACTCTAATCTGTGCTTCCAGAAAAATTTTCTAAAACATTACAGAACTGGGTTGCCAATGAAGTTGCTACACTGACATTATCAGGAAGCCACCTGTGGATCTGAGTAATTATCACTACAGATATTTACCCTAGAGCCATTTTTTTTTCTGCTCTAATCTGTAAGCTGCCTGAATTAGGAAGCTGATAATGCCTTTATATTATATTAAAAAATTCACGTTTCATAATTTGCTGCTCTTGTTCTCTCTGGTTGATTCTGTTCTAAACTCAAGATTTACATGACTACTAGATATATGAAAGTCAAAGGAAGTAGGAAAACATCATTTTAACTTTCTAGCTTCTGTAACTCAAGAAGGCATATTAGAGGGAAGTTGCAATATATGTTAAGAAAATACATACACAGTATGAATTACCCATGAGAAATAGGAAGGGGGAAGTAACAGGGTGAAGGAATACCAAAGGTATTAGGATATGAACTAGCATGTAGAAAATATAAGTATTAATATTATGACATTAAGTTCAATAGAGGAACTGAAAACTAGAAAAATGGAATAGGTAGGTAGAGGCTACATTAAAGGGTCTGTATTACAAAATCAAAGTGTTTTTCTCCATGAAGAATGAGAATATTCTCATTAAGAATATATGGCATACAAAAGATACTATGTGTCCTGTGTCCTGCATACATGGCCTGTAATTGGAAAAACATTATTTCCCCTTTCATCCAATTCACTTTCACATACTATTTTCTTAATGATATTTTCTACTTATAATTGATACAGCTGAGTGTAAGTTATTAAAATATAAAATGGGATTCGGTTTTTAAGAAAAAGTCAACTTTAGAGTTTACACACCTTTATGGATTCCTGCTTTCATTTTATATTTAATCTCTGAGGATTTTAAGCTTTTTTTGCAGATAGGGCGAAGTGCTATTTACCGAAACACTTTTAGAAAATATCATGGGTAGAGTTTAGAAAATATCATCAGTAGAGTTTTCAGAACATATTTATAGGAAAATGAAAATACAATTGAATAAAAAAGACTATAAAAATGAACAAAGAGTTGTGAAAAGGAGATGAATCAAACTTTTATAAAGAAAGAACATATTAATTAAAATAAAACATTTTACTTCCAGGTAGCAAGCAATGGTAGACTATTGCTCTCAGTGCAAATTAGAAAACATAGACATATTACAAAATAATATTTTGAAGACATCATAAATTTGGAGAAGCCACAAAGACGAGATGAATTCAAATTTTGGAGAAGAAAGAGATCTTCTGAGATTAGCCAATGATTCCTAGCTATTTTCTTCCCTGAGACATTTTTTGATGTTGGGTTCAAATTAAAGATTGAGGTTGACAGCCACTGAGATGACTTCCAACCATCCCTACCACCTGTATGTATGCCTTTTTGTAATTACCTACCCTGAGAGTAGGCTGGATTTACTGACTTACTTCTATAAAATAGAACATGACAGAGATATGATTTTGTTTTTGTGATTAGGATTTAAAGAGTTGTTTCTGGTTCAGGTCCTTGATTACTCATCATTCAGAAAATAAGTTGCTATGTTATGAGGTACTCTTGCGGAAAGGTTTATATAGTGAGAGGCCAAGACTTGTTAACAACCATGTAATAAGCTTGGGAGTGGATTCCCTGCCACAGTCAACTCTTCAGATGAGACTACTGCCACAGTTGTATTAATGTTTCACTAAAAAATTATGAAAGACCTTGAGACAGAGTCATCCAACTAAGTGACGCTAGATATCTGACTCACACAATTATGAGATAATATATCTTAATATATTAAGCTGCTAAATTCTAAAGTAATTTGTTACATAGCAATAGATAACTACCCCAAGGCTCAATTCATTAAAAGAACAACAGCCCTGAAGGTGTATACAACTTATAAGAGCGTCTCAAAATAAATGAAGTAAATGTTATGGAACTAAAAGAAAAATAGACAAAGTGACAATTATTATATAAGATTTCAATAGCTCTCTCTCAATAGTAGACAGAATAACTATTTAGAAAATTAGTAATAATACATAAGATTTGACCTACGTGACCTAATTGACATTTATAGAGCAATCCACTCCAAAATAGCAGAATGCGCATTTGTATAAAGTGAAAATAGAATATTTAATAAGATATATCATATCCTTTGTCATAAAATAATTCTTAATAATTCAAAACATACAAAAATATTTTATGCCCCAAATATAATTAAATTAACAAAATCAAAGTGTTTTGCTCCATGGAGTTCTAAATATTGAGACTTTTTAAAGCTTTTAGTTTAAAAAGTCTCAATATTTAGAAGCTAGAAAATACACTTTTAAGTAACTGATAGTTTAAAGAAAACATTAAGAGGAAAATTAACAAGTATTTGGAAGTAAGTGAAAATGAAAACACAAATGAAAATTTGTGCAATCTATCTAGAACATTTCATAGAGGGAAATTTAAGCATTAAATGCAAATAGAAGAAAAACGTCAGAAATAATTATCTGAATTTACCTATTAGAAATTTAGAAAACAAAGAACAAATTATACATATGTAAGCAGAGGAAAAGTCATAATAAACATTAAAACAAAACTCAAGAAATATAAGCAAAATGTATTGATAGAACATACATAAAATATTATTGCATTATGCAACTATTTGAGAATATCCATTCTTTTCCAGCTCTCTGAGAGCTTCCTGAAGATGGGATTTGTAACATCTAGCATGTCTTACCAAATTTCAAGACTGCAAGGAGCACAGCAAGATGGCAGAATCCAGCAAAGGTCTCCACACAGAAATATCAATGTGAACAACTCTTTATGCATGAAAACACCTTCACAAAGAAAATCAGGTGAAACGCCACAGTACTTGGTTATAATACAGTTATAAGAAAATATGTTTTAAAGGACAGTTTTACATTACCCACACCACACTTCCCCAAACCCCAGGCAGCACAGTCTAGAGAGATACGCCATGCACTTGGGGAAACAGAGTGAAGTAAGCATAGGACTTTGCCTTGGACCTCAACATTGGGCCCACCACAATAAAACTCACCACTGAGAAGAACCCCATAACCCCATATTCCAGGTTGTTACCCATGACCTGAATCACTAGATATTCCCCAACACAAGGCAGAACCACACAGACCCAGGCTTCAGACTTGCATGGCAAAATCAATTTCTGGCATATAATGCCTTCAAGCTAACATCAGAATCTGAGCTCTGGATAGCTCTCAAGACTAGATAAGCCTTAGCAGACCTTGAATTCAGGTGAGCTCCAGTACCATGCCAGCTGTAATATCCCCCAGCTTATGGTCTGCTCCAGCATCATGTGTGCTGTAGCAGGTCCCAGACTTCTGGCAGTACCACGTCAGTCACATCTGCTCTGGACTTCTGCCTGCCTTTTGCTACACCTATCACAAGAATTTTCCAGATAAAGCCAGTCTGGAAATATTGAAATAAGTGCCTGCTGCTTCAAATAAGCAGTCATCAATGCACAACCACGTGGTCAAGAACAATTAGGAAAACATGACATAACCAAATGAACAAAATAAGGTGTCAGAGACTCTAATCCTAAATAAATTGAGACGTAAAAAGTGCCAGACAAAGAATTCAAAATAACTGTTTTAAGGAAGCTCAGGGAATTTTAAAGAAATACAGATAAGCGATTCAAATAAATGAACCAATAAGTGAGCAGAACAAAAATATTTAATATAGGGATTAAAATATATTTAAAAATTAAGGAGAAATAATGAAAAAATACACAAACAAAATTTTAAAAAATTCAATAGAGATCATGAATAGCAGAACTGATTAAGCAGAAGAATCTAAATTTGAAGACAGATTATTTAAAAATGTACATTCAGGGAAAAAAGGAGAAAATGAATGAAGAAAGCTTGCTGGATGCATGTGATAACATCAGAAAAGCAAATATTTGAGTCATGGGAATTAAGCAATATACTGAATGGGAAAAAATACTCACAAATATGCATCCAATATAGGCCTAATATTGAGAATCTATAAGAAATCTAAACAATTCAACAAGCAAAAAATAAACTACCACATTAATAAATGGGCAAAAGACATGTACAGACACTTGTCAAAAGAAGACATACAAGCAGCCAACAAACTTATGGAAAACTTCTTAACATCACTAGTCATCAGAAAAACGCAAATCAAAACCACAGTAAGATACCATCTCACACTAGATGAAATGGCTATTATTAAAATGTCAAAAAACAACCGATCTTGGTGAGACTGTAGAGAAAATGAAACACTTATACATTGTTGGTGGGAATGTAAATTAGTTCAGCCACTGTGGGAAGCAGTTTGGAGATTTCTCAAAGAACTTAAAACAGAACTACCATTTGACCCAGTAATCCCATTACTGGGTATATATCAGAAAGAAAACAAATTATTCTAGCAAAAAGACACATGCACTTGAATGCTCATCACAGCGCTATTCATAATAGCAAAGACGTGGAATCAACTAGATGCCCATCAAGAGTGGACTGGATAAAGAAAATTATATACATATATATATAGTGCATATATATATATAGTGCATATATATATATATACATATATATAATGGAATACTATAAAGCCATAAATTAGGGAAATTCATTTCTTTATAGCAACATGAATGCAGCTGGAGGTCATTATCCTAAGTGAATTAATGCAGAAACAGAAAGACAATTATCATGTGTTCTCACTTACAAGTGTGAGCCAAACACTGGGTAGTCATGGACATAAAGATGACAAAAATAGACACTGGGAACTAATTGATGGGGGAGGGAGGGAGGCATGTAAGGGATGAAAAATTAACCTACTTTGGTGATGGGATTGTTCATACCTCTAACCTCAGCATCCCACAATACCCAGGTAACAAACCTGCACATGTACCCCCTGAATCTAAAATGACAGTTGATTAAAAAAAAAACAAAGAAAAAATCTCTTGGCATATTTAAGACAATAATGATAGTTACAGTAATTTATTAAGACATGTGCAATGATCCAAAGATGTAAATTGTGACATCAAAAATTCAAAATATGAAGGTAAAATTGAGTAAAAAATATAGAGAATTTTTATTTTTGCAATCAAAGTTAAGTGATGAAAGAAACTGAACAAAACACAAGCGAATGGAAAGATATCTTGTGTTTGTCAATTGGAAAAATGAGTATTATTATAATGTCCACACTACTCAAAGCAATCTAAAGAGTCAATGCAATCTCTTTCAAAATACCAGTGACATTATTCACACAAATAGAGAAAGAGCGATCATAAATTCATATAGAACTACACAAATATCAGAAAGCCAAAGCAATCTTTGGCAAAAACAAAGAAACCTGGAAACATCACACTACCTGACTTCAAAATATACTATAAAGCTAGAGTAATCTAACAGCATGGTACTGGCAAAAACCAGATACATAGACCAATGGAACAGAACACAGAGCCCAGAAATAAAGCATGCATTTACAAGCCAACTGATTTTCGACAAAGGCAACAGGAACATATGATGGGAGAAACTACAGTCTTTTCAATAAACCGTGTTGAGAAAACTGAATATCCACATATAAGAGTGAAATTAGACCGTTATCTCACACCCTATAAAAGAATCAGCTCAAAATGGATTAAGGGCTTAAATATAAGACATAAAACTATGAAACTCCTAGAAGAAAACATAGGGGAAAAGCCCCATGACATTAGCCTGGCCAATGGGTTTTTTTGATATGACTCCAAAATCACAGGCAACGAAAGGAAAACTAGATATCTGGGATTACATCAAACTGAAAAATCTTCTGCATAGCAAAGTAAACGATTGACAGAGTGAAGAGCCAACCTACAGAATGGGAGAAAATATTTGCAAACAATACACACAATAAGGAGCTAATATTTAAAATAGATAAGAAACTCAAATAACCCAAATAGAAAAAAAAACCACACAAATAAAATCTGATTACAAATAAGCAAAGGGCCTTAATAGACATTTCTCAAAAGAAGACATACAAATGAGCAACAGGTATACTAAAAAGTGTTCGACATCACTAATTATCAGGGAAAATTCAATTAAAACCACAATGAAACATCATCTCATACCTACTAGAATGGTCGTTATGAAAAACACAAAAGATAACAAGTGTCGGTGGGGATGTGGACAAAAGAGAACTCTTGTGCACTGTTGGGGATGTAAATTAGTACAGCCATTATGGAAAACGGTATGCAAGTTTCTCAAAAACTTAAGAATAGAACTACCATGTGATCCAGCAATCCCTCTGCAGGGTGTATATACAAAGGAAATAAAATAAGTATGTTGAAGACATATCTGCACTCAAAAGTTCATCGTATCATTTTTCACATTGGCCAAGATACAGAATCAACCTAAGCATTCCTCAAAGATGAATAGTTAAAGAAAATGCGGTATATATACACAATGGAATACGGTTCAGCCACAAAAAAGAGGGAAATTCCATCACATGCAACAACATGGAAGAACCTAGAAGACATTCTGTTAAATGAAAGAAGTCAGGCACAGAAGGACAAATACCACGTAATCTCACTCATATGTGGAAGCTGAAATTGTCATAACATACAAGTAGAGAGTGGAATGATGGTAATCAGGGGCCGGGTAGTTGGAGAGGGGGATTGGGGAGATGTTGGTTAAACAATAAAAATTTTCATTTAGATAGGAAAAATAAATTCAAGAGATCAGCTATACAGCATGGTGACTACAATTAATAATATATTGTATTCTTGAAATATGCTGATAGTGGATATGAAGTGTTCTCACTAAAAAAAAACTATGTGATATAATGCAGATGTTAATTAGGTAGATTTAGTTATTCCACAATGTACGTATATTTCAAAATATCATTTTGTGCAGGGTAAACAAATAATTTTATCTGTACATATAAAATATAAAAATATTATTTGTATTAAAAAGTAAATGAAATAAAACTAAATTTCATGACTGTCAGACAATGTTAAATGACAACAGCATAATTAGGCTGATTTAATAATAAAAGACAGTAAAACATATTTTGACTATTATACAAAATAAAATAGGAAATAAGTTATTGAACTTAAACCAATTAATCATTATTAAAATCATAATGAAAATTAGAACATATTTAGAGCTGTCAATAGAAAAAGCACCCTACATCAATACTTGTCAGATGCAGGTAAGGTAATGTTAAAAGGAATTACATGGGATTACTATTTTAAAAAAGCTGAAAAGTAATGAATAAACCCTGGGAAAACAAAAGAAAAAAGTGTAGAAATTAATAAATTATAAACATTTATAATTAGAATCATATTAGCCAAAGTTATTCCTGAATGTAAAATTAAATAATCTGAATGATCCTCTGGCAGGGTTCATTAAAGGAAAATATGTAATGGTTCAAATAAGCTCCATATGGAATGAAAAAAGTGCGTAATGCCAGATGCTGCAGAGATAAACATAAGGAAATTTTACTAACCTGATGTCAGTGCACTTTGAAACTTAGAGGAAATAGACAATTCCATTAACAAAATTAACTGAGGAAGAAATATGAAACCTGAAGGAGATAACAATTAGAGTAATTGAATCAGTAGTTTAGAAATCTTTCCACAAATAAAAAATCACCCACAAATAATTTTACCAGTGTGTTCCAAAAACACTGTAAAAATAAATAATGATATCATACAAATTGTCAAGACTAAAAAGTGCACAATTACCAGCTTATTTTATGAGACTAGCATAACATTGATATCAATATCTGTCAAAAACATTAAGATAAAAGCACTATAAAGCTCAATCATAAACAGAAATGCAAACATCTCAAGCAAAATATTATCTACCCAACAGCAACTTACTAAAAAATAATAATACATCGTAGTCAAGTTAGGTTTAATTGCTGGAATGCACTTATTAAGTATTAGAATATTAGTAAAAATCAAACTGTCATTGTTTTCACATGGTATAATCATGTAGCTATAAATCTACATGAATATATAGATAAGTAATTAGTATTAGAGAGTTTAGCAAAGGTTTGGACACAAATTTAGCATATAAGTTTAGTTACATTTCTATCAACCAAAAAAACAGAGAAAATAATTTTTTAAAATGCAGTATGCTAGCAACCTTTTTTTCCTCAGTATTGAGGATTTAATCTAACAAAATATATACAATATCTTTCTGGATAAAAATAATATTACAGGAAAGCATTAAAGAAGCCCTAGATTGTGTGTGTGTGTGTGTGTGTGTCTGTGTGTTTATCTTATAAATAACAAAGAAAGATAGCATTAAAACGTGGGCAAACTAATAGCTCGTAGTTCAAACTACTTGCTTGCTCAAGTAGTTTGTCAAGAAAAGTTTTCAATTTTATTACAAGTTAAGAAACTGTAAATTAATAGCACGGTAATGATATACCATTTATTCACTCTACTGGGCACGAAGTCTCACAAGGATGTAGCACAAAGAAATGATCATTCTTTCTTTGTAGTATTGTAAATTGGCAGAAATATTGTGGAAAATTGGTTGGCATTCCCTAGTAAAGCCGAAAAAGTTTCATACTTTACAACCCAATAGGTAGCTATATACCCAAAGGAATTATTGCAAGTTGTCAGAAGATACAGACATTCATTATCAATGCAGCACCCTGTATAATGTCAAAACGGGAAGCAATTCACTTATCTATGCAGGATTTCACTTTACTAATGGATAAACTATGATGTGTTTATTAATTGAATATCATACAGCAGAGAATGTAAATTATCTGTTGTCAAATCTATCATCATGGTTAAACTGTAGGGATGTAACAGGCAGGAAAATAAACCCAAAGCTAGTTACATGCATCAATATGAATGAATAGATTATTATAGGAAAAATGTTCTTTTGACAACCAAATTGGGATATCATGGGAAAGAAAATTAATGCTTTCTAAATTTTACATATGTACGTATTCTCTTTCGCCTTAAAAATTAGTTGGAAATTTTAAAAGATAATTTAATTTTCTTTTACTGAGTGTATATTGATATTTAGCTCTCTTACTTCAACTCCTGCAAGTTTTACAGAGATAGAAAATCGTGGAGAAATTGGCATGATCATTATAACCTGCTAATTAAAGCCAAAACTAAGATTAGAGTGAAGTTTCCCGATCCCACGTTCAGTACTTCATTTACAACATTATGCTGATATAAATGACTTGATTGGGAAAAAAATAGTAATTAAATTGACTTGTAGCTATCTTGATCTCTTTTCACTGTTCAAATATATTATTTGATTTTAATTAGGCTTCATTTTCCAGCTGTTTCATTTGTTCTTAATCAATAGTTGACTATGGTTGAAAATCAATTTTTTGAGGAAATATTTGTCATTGTCTTATGTTGGTAGTTAACATGATATTCAAAAGTGGAAATATAGATGGCCACTACTTATTAAAATGCATCTTTGGAAATTTTTATTTGAAATTCTCAAAACTTATGTATGTATGTATATATATCTCCTCTATAAACAGAACATCATTTTTAAATGTATTCAGTCTTTTTCTATTAAGAAGTTCGGCGACTAATATTTTTGATACTTCCTTATATTTGCTTTTGTTCCTGACAGTAATCAACAAGTTTTCAATATTTTTTATTTATAGTTTTATTAAATGTTTTGCATCTTTAAAAGACATTTTCTTGTCTTTTATTCCTAGTAATTTAGAGTTAAACAATGTTTCCAACAATTTGCCTATTAATTTTTAATTTTAATTTTCCACAATATCTGACAAAGGTTAAATAATATGTGTTTTTCTCTATTTGAGAACCTTTCTAATTTGAAATTCATTTTTCATTTGTTCCTTGTTGGTACTCTATTCCTATTACTCTTGTTCATGTCCTAATTATCTCTTTCAGAACTTACCTATCTCCATTTCTTCCCCTGTACTCTCTGAGTGCAATTCACATATTTCCTTTTATCTATTCAGAAAACTTCAAGACATTCCAATTACATCTAGAATAAAGTTCAACATTTATCCCAATATCCAAGGATATTTATTATTTAGGGACAAATTCCTTTTTCAAAGATATTTCATCCCACTTTTCTTAATACATTTTGTATCTAAGCAGAGGAAAACATCTATTATTATCCACATCATCCCTAAAATTCCTGCCTTCAGATTTGCTCATGCCTTTCCTGAACATAAAATTCTCTACCACTCTCCTCCTTCAGTTTTCACCTTTGTTTCAAACTCAGTTAAAATAATAACTGTTATAACCTGTAATAGGTGATAGAAGCTGACCTATGAAGTGAGACAAAAGTGTTGTGTAGTGCCGTATATCCTATTATTAGTGATGTAGATTTGACTGATAAATTGACTTGAAAAATTCCTATTAATAAAATAGGTCTAACATCTATCATTTCTTTCAAAATGTTTTTATGTTAAATAAGAAAATGCACATATCTGGACTATCATTGGCATTTGATGTATACGAGTCCCCTCGTCGGGCTTTTTTAGCTGGCAGAATTACATTTTTCCTGAAGAAAAGGTAGGAGATAACTAATACCACCTGTCTAGCTTATACCACAGATAGCCTTTTATTTTAATGAATAAATTTATTTATTTTTTATATAAATGAATCCAATGCAGTATACTATCTGGCTTTCATAATCCAGTGTCCAAAATAGTGCCATGCACATAGTAGCTGCTTAATTAATGTACTAATTGGAAGTACATGTATCTTTACTACAGTTATTAAAAAATAATTTTGAGCAAAATGTAAATTAATAATTTAGTCAGCTTTTATGTCGTTTGAATACATTTATATTTAACATGTGATATAAAAATAATATTATGTTAAGAAGTAATTGCTATAGAGTAAAATTTAAGTTAGCCAGAATAACAGCAGAATATAGGTTACACATACCAAAAAGCAATTAAAACAACACTAGCCTATATGTCTGAAAATAATTTTAATAAAAACTTAGCTAGAATTATATCCAGTAGTTACAAACAAGTTTACTGTTCTATAAAGGTCATCTAAACATATAAAAATAATATATATACACAATAATTTAAGAACAATAACGTTACATAAACTTATTGATGAGGAAAGGTCAAAGCTATCTGTTGTAATTTATATTATGCTCCCTCAACCAGCTCTGATTCTTTTTTAATACTATACTTGAATTGAATTGGAAAAGGATGCATTCTGAGCTGGAATTTCTTATCCTCGTCCTTTTCCTACTATTCTCTCTATTTTCACAGCTCTGGAGGTGTTAGGCACGCTCATTCCCTCTTGTCTTCCTTAGACTCCTGACAGTAGTCTCACTCCTCCAGAAGCAGTAATAGAAGGACGGGGCTTTCTTTGACCTGCAATATTTCTTTTTCTTTCTTTCTTTCCTTCTTTCTTTCTTTCTTTCTTTCTTTCTTTCTTTCTTTCTTTCTTTCTTTCTTTCTTTCTTTCTTTCCTTCTTTCTTTTCTTTTCTTTCTTTCTTTTTTTTTTTTTTTTTAACACAGAGTCTTGCTCTGTAGCCCAGGCTGGAGTGAAGTGGCATGATCTCAGCCCACCGCGCAAGCTCTGCCTCCCAGGTTCAAGTGATTATCCTGCCTCAGCCTCCCAGGTAGCTGGGATTATAGGCCTGTGACACCACGCCCAGCTAATTTTTGTATTTTTAGTAGAGATGGGGTTTCCTCATGTTGGCCAGGCTGATCTCGAACTCCTGACCTCAATTGATCTGCCTGCCTCAGCCTCCCAAAGTGCTGGGATTACAGGCATGAGCCACCACACCGGGCCGGACTTGCAATATTTCTGACTGGCAATGGTATTTTTAGAAATATTCAAGTCTATTAATATAATTTCAGTTAGGATTAACTTTAAATTTGGTCACTTCTATAGATCCACAGTTAAATCAAGAATTGACTATCTTTGAAACTGAGACATTCTTGGGGGCTTTTGTTCAATTTCTCCCCTATGATCACATTTCTGAATGGCATGTACGCCATTTAAGGACTACAGCTGTGCAAAATATGTTCACTTAGCTTCAGGACGTTTCTATTTATTTAGTTCTCAATACTTCAGCCAAATATTTATTTACATTCCTTCATTTTGCTTTAAAAATAAGGTGTTAGAAACCATTTATGTTTTCATTAGAACACTGCTAAAAATTAATCTAAAATATATGAAAATAGTTGAGGGTTCGTATTTGAATAGAAAAGACACAGTTTGACTTCGAACTCAGGTTCGCCTTCCTCTCTCACTCACACAAGTGTAATGTGTCAGTGTTCAGATCGATATCCTCACTAATTCTTGACCTGGTGCAACGCTTCAAAGGTCTTATTGATTAACTATTTTTGAAGGCTGGAAAGAAAAAAAGTGAATATAGTTTAAGACTTTTGATGGAAATTTTCCTTTAAAATAATATTTTCCACCACCCATTTACTGAACTTAACCCTGGCAACCGTATCACTGACTCATCCTCAGAGAAGGGGATGGAAATAGATTCCACTGGCACACTTCACTAGTGGCTTTCACTAAAAATGCATCATGAACAAAAATAAAATATTTTGCAGGTAAGCCTATCTATCCAAATATGATCATCTGCTTTATCATATTTAGATAGATAGGCTTAACTACAAAACAAATCTTTCCTTCCGTGTCTTAAGTCTAGGCCCTCACCCTTCAGTGGAATTTGGCAGCCATCTCATCATTGCAGTTTCTGCCCTCAGTCTGATCAGTTCTTAAAAATGCTCCCTGGGAAAACTTAAAACAAAACAAAACAGAACCACCATTATATGTCTCTTCTACTCAAATATTTTTACTGGTTCCCCGTTTTCTATGATGAAAAATTCTAATAAGTTTCACAAAGTCCATCCCTTCTCTTTAACACCCTCAACCAAAATCCAAACATATCTTGCAGTCTACTTACAAAAAAATTTCACTTTTATCTTCAAAGCATAATACCATTTCACACTTCTATACGTTTGGCAATGCTATTTCTTCTTCCTAGAATGTCCTCTAGTCCTCAACACCCTCGATATTTGTATTCATTTATCAAGACAGGAAAAACACCACCTCCTCCATGATCTTCCATAACATTATTCTTAGTTGACTCCTGCCTGTGTGTTCCTCTGTGATGAGATGCAACATTATTTGTATCTGCACAGTATTTATGCTATATTAAATTATGTCATTTGTCCCCTGAACAATTAACTCCTTAACAATAGGGAAATTATTTATTGAAGTTTGTTTTCTCAATGACAAATAATCAGGTACATATTATATCTTCCTAATTCAAAATATGCTTGAAAAATAAAATAAGAATGTGAAAAGGATATATTTAATATTCATAAATATTATCTGTAGTCTAATATTACATTACAAAGAAATTAAGTAACAAAATTAATAAGAGCTTATATATTTTAATATTTACAAGTACCAAACTGGCATATTATTTTATCATATCAAATTCCCAAAGATATTACCATTTTAAAGAGAATATGCCAATATATTGACATACTTAGTTATACTGTTGGAATAAATGATTTTAAAAGTGGAAAGATTCTTTGCATCATTCAGTAGCAAGCTTGCTGTACAATAATGGGCATTGGAATGTGACAAATAATTTTTAAAACTTTTAAAAAATATTTTATGATAGAGTCAAAATAGCATTTAATTTCTTAAAAAGTGAATTAGCATTATAACTATGAAGAAATATAATGTCTAGAAAAATCTAATTATTAAATACTACTTGATAACATCATAAAATCATTACATCTGCTTAAAATGAGAAGTTTAATTCACTTGTATCAGTTGGTATTGAAATCTTTATCTGTGTTAGCTATGATATTCTCTTATTATGCTGTGTTTTTAGTTAGCTCTCCATAGAATTCAGTTCACATTTTAGAAACCGACATGGATTAGACATTGAGTAAAGCAGAACTGTTTTATTCTTTGTATTTGTGTGTGTGTGTGTGTGTGTGTATACATACACATATATGTCTCATATATATATCCCCATATTTGTCATGTATATATATATATCTCCCCACTGGAGTTGTGAAAATGTGTTTTTGACTAAAAGTGGAGGACAAGATGGGACTGGAGGACAGATGCCAGCGTGAGACTAGCCCTAAATGTAAGAGAGGGGAAATGACCGTGAGAGATATATAGGACAGAAATGATTGACTGTCAAAGAAAAGGAATAGAAATGGAACAGGGGTGACTGACACTGCAAGGGAAAGTAGAAAGACACAGGAAATACAACAAAAGAAGGGGAATTCTCCTTAATTCTAAGGCCCGGACTCTCACTACAGGCTTGGTATTTATGTCTCACACTGCTAGCAAAATTTTTAGTAACCTACATTAGAGTACAAATTGATCTAGAATTGCGGTTGTCTTGTCTCTTTGGGATGGGGGAGGTCACGGGGATAGAAACATAATCCCTCCTTTTCTCCCAGAGGGACCCTACACTACTTCACCCATGGATGGTTCTTTAAGCACAGAATTTTGCTAGTTTCTTTAAGAGAATCAAAGGAGACAGGATGGGAAACTTATTCATGTCTGGATTTTAAGATGATATCTGTAGCTTGAAAACAAATCAGTCTCTTAGCATACTATTTAGATGTATTGTTCTTTTGGCATTTATATTATTTTAAATAAATATCTCTTTTCTCATTCTCAATATCCTCACATCATTCATACTGTCCTCTTCATTTTCTTACAGAGATTTTACCATCATCATCCTATTGAAAAACTGACAAAAAAAGAGAAAAAAAGCCTGAATATTAGTGTTTTAATTGGAAAATAATGCACTGTAATAATGATATTCTGACATTGGCAGTATTTACTAAGCTGCATAATAAAACATTTTCAATAATTTAATATGTATGTAGAGCCTTCAGCAAGAAATAAGCTTCCTTCAGTCCAAATTCTTTCAGGCACCCTACTGCTTGGTTCTTTTTTCCTTCTGGATACCTCACATGTGATTGTAATCAGATAAAGATAATCAAACATTTAAATACAGCAACGCTTACAGATTCTAACCCAGGACTTGATAACTATCACAGGTAGACTCCAAAAGATTACCAGAACTATATAATTTTTCACATATGTACAACTTAGATAATAATGTTCAGGTACTCTTTATTAGGGAACTAGTAATAACTCTTATCCACTGAAAAAATATCATTTTTGCAGAAGTCTTTACCTTATATTAGCTCGTTGCTTATAACCTTTCCTATAGTATTATAATGAGTGTTTAGCAAAAAAAAAAAAAAAAAGAAAGTATAGCTTCTTTCTAATGATCCTACAACTGCTAGATCTACGTTCTCTAATAACTGTTTTTCCTTGTCTGTTTGATCAGAGAGGTTTTTGTTGTTGTTCTCTCTGGCTATTGATTTTTTTTTTTTTTTTTTTTTTTTTTTTTTTTTTTGCGATGGAGTCTCCCTCTGTCGCCCAGGCTGGAGTGCAGTGGCGTGATCTCGGCTCAATGCAAGCTCCACCTCCCGGGTTCACACCATTCTCCTTCCTCAGCCTGCCGAGTAACTGGGACTACAGGTGCCCGCCACCACGCCCGGCTAATTTTTTTGTATTTTTAGTAGAGACGGGGTTTCACCGTGTTAGCCAGGATGGTCTCGATCTCCTGACCTCGTGATCCACCCGCCCAGGCCTCCCAAAGTTCTGGGATTACAGGCGTGAGTCACCACGCCTGGCCTAATTGATTTATCAATATTTAGAGTTATCACCTTTTGGAATGATTTTTCTGCACATAGTGATCATGGGAGGCATTGAAAAGCCTTTGCTCTGGATAGCTTCTCCATATTTTAAGCTTGAAAAAAACAACATGGTCTGAAAAGTAGCTTGCGATAACAGCAGTTTGCAAATTTACTGTTATTAAGAGCATTTTCTTAAAAATCTTATGATTATCTATTTTTGAAGACTGGAAAGAAAAAAGTGAATACAGTTTAAGACTTTTGATGCAAATCTTTCTTTAAAATCATATTTTTCACCACCCATTTACTGAACTTGATTCTTGCAACCCTATCACTGACCCATCCTCAGAGAAGGAGATGGAAATGGATTCCACTGGCACACTTCACTACTGGCTTTCACTAAAAATGCATCATGAACAAAAATGAAATGTTTTGTATAAATTCAAAAATGACAATCTGCTTTATTAAATATGTTTTTTATATAAGAAAGTCTCTGATCCGGTATAAGCTAGAACACTCCCACTCACGAGTGGGTATTCCAAGCCAAGGAGACATTACCCCAGTACTCCTCCCTGCCTTGTTTCTTATGTAATTGCTTTGAGAGTGATGTCTGTACCCACCACAGGAGCTGGAAGAGGCACTGTCACTTTTGCAGACAGTACTATGTTCTATGTTTAGCTTATTATAATTTCTACTTGAAATCCTTCTTCATCAGTTATCTTTGCGGTGGAAATGATAGGACCATCGCTGTTCAGCCACAGTCGAGAAGGAGTCATTAACTTGATGTCCGTAGCTCAGGTGCATCTGGAAGCAAGCTTGGATTCAGTCATCTTTCTCTCGGAGGCCTGTAAACCAGTGCCTCCCAAACTATAATGCACATATGGATCATTTGGAATCTTATTAAAATGCAGAATCAGCAAATTTAGGGTGGCCTGAGCTGCATTTCTAACAAGCTTCCAAGTGATTCTAATACTGCCAGTTGGCTCACCACAAAAAAAGTAGCAAGCTTCTCAATGGAGTTAAAAAGTTATCTTCTTTTTGTTTATTTTTCACATAAATGGGCTTTTAAAAATTCTTATGTGACATAAGATAAAATGTAGGCATCTGCCTTATACAGGTGGGCTAATGAGAATGGTAATAGGGTGTCTCTACAAATTAGTTGGCAACTCTTCAAGTCCGATGAGTTACTGTCTGTCTTATTCAGGGGTTATAACATCAAGATTTATAACTAACTTATTTTCTAAACTGGGACATTCTGAGAACAAAAGAGGGCACTTTTAATAATTACGCTGGCACAACACAACAAGCAATTGAGAGACATGTTCACCCTACCAAGAGTGACACCATGCTAAAGAACTCTGAGCAATTTAATTCAGCTTTACCATATAGAAATTTATTTTTTTAAATGACCTAACTGCTTGTCTTTCACAATTTTATATCCTTATAAACGTTGCTGCTTTTTTCTCCATATATTTTAAAAAATTGATCCTCAAAAAGAAATTTTTAAAAATACATTCCTCCTATGATCCCATTTTTCTAAAACATATATATAATATAATTTGGTCCAAGCTTTCATGGAATTATTGGCATGAGAGTATTCAATATTTCTAATTGATAATTAATTGAAATGGTAATTTTCCTTAAGTTTTAGGTTGAAATTTTTCTACATTAAGAAAAAATGTGGCTGACCACATTGGTTCATGTCTGTAATCCGAGACCTTTGGGAGGCCGAGGCAGGCAGATCAATTGAGGTCATGAGTACAAGACCAGCCCGGCCAATATGGCAAAACCTTGTCTCAACTAAAAACACAGGAAAAAAAACAAAAATAGCCAGGCATGGTGTTGCACACCTGTAATTTCAGCTACTCAGGAGGCTGAGGCATTGAGAATTACTTGAACCCTGGAGGTGGAAGCTGCAGTGAGCCGAGATTGTGCCATTGCACTCCAGCCTGGGCCACAGAGCAAGATTGTCTTAAAAAAAAAAAAAAAAGAAAAAGAAAAACTGTTCAAATGTGCATATTATCTTTATGTTCAAGTTAAAATATGATGTGTTTTGATATATGCTTGGCAGGTGTTGTTCACCCTCAGTCCTGGTAATAATTATGTCAGGATGATAATGAATTGCTGTTGTCTTTTACACGTGCAGGTAGATGGTGTTCTGGTTATATGGTTAGCATTACTGACACATTTAATATATTTTATAGACTGTCATTGTGTTGTTTTACCCAGAATGGTTTCACCTTGGGAATATCTCTTAACTTCACGGTAAATATTGATTTACATTCTTCTAATTTTAAAAGCCTGGCCATGTAGACAAGCTTTACATGCTCATAGTTTGCCTTGTGCACCTTAGATTTTACTGTAAGTTCACGGTTCTTAAAAAGCCAATAAAAAGCTTTGTTTAAAATCATCTTCATTTTATTTCCAGTGATTTACTTTTAAATCCTCTGGCTGAATTTTACGTGTATGGAATTGCATTGCATCAACTTTAATATCACAGTATAATGCACAGTTTAAAATATCCTCTAAATCTTAAGAGAAACAATGGAAGCCAAACTCAATTACCTGCTGGTGGGTTGTCAGTATAAATGAGACAAAGGCTGTTTTCCAGCATAATTAACTGGCTTAAAGATGGCATACAGTAATTTGTCAGCTAGAGATAACCCTTTATTAACACCTTTTAAAATATAGATTTAAGATACTGTTGCTTCTTAAGTTGGTAGTTCAATTTGTTTTCAGAACTGTATAGTTTTTTTTTAATTCACAATGACTGATTTAAATAAAGATTCATAAGATACAACTACCCCAAATAAAATATTTCTTCTCACCTTTAAGGGGTTTCTTTTATAGGCAAGTGAGTAAGTAACACTTTTTATTATGCTTTCAAATTTTCCATTGTTCCTTATAAATTACACACACACACACACACACACACACACACACACACACCAGAAAAAACTGGCAAAGAACAAACAAAAAACCTGAAGTGATATTTTGGTAAAAATTTAAATTTTTGTCCTTTACAAAGCAAAACTTCTGTATGTATGGATATATTAAATCATACCCAAATGTGTTTTTTCACAGTGTAAAATAATTTTAAAATCTGACAATTTTTTTGGCTTAAGTTTATATTCTTCATTATGTTTTCAGTTCATTCTTTGTTTTGAAATAAAATCCGACCTACAATAAATTTGCAAAATGTGTTAGAAAGAATGTCCACATGCCTAACGCCCAGCTACTTCGAATGCTAACATTTTCCATAATCACAGTTAACAAAACCAGGAAATTAACAGTGACATAATTCTACCAACTAGTCTACATGCCTTACTGGAATTTTATCAACTGTCCTTCTAAAATTATTTTTGTACATCAGAATTGAATCTAGGACACACATTGCATATAGTTGTGTCTCCTTTTATCTAGGATAATTTATCAGTCTTTGTCTTCCATGACTCTCCTATTTTTAAGAGTTCTGAGCAGTTATTTTTCTAAAAGCCCATCATTTGATCTTTTCTCATCTAGTCTCATGACCAAATTTAGCTTATGCACTTTTGAAAAGAATCCAACTAAAGTAATGTGTCACCTTTCTCAGGCCATCATGTCAACATGATATTGACTTCCTTCATTCTTGGTATTAATTTTCATCACTTTGTAAAAGTGGTGTCATACAGGTTTCTCCACTAAAAAGTTACATTATCCCCTTTGCAATTATTAAGGATGTTCTGGGGAAATATTTGAGACTACGTAAATACTGTCAACCTTATATCATGAGATTCAGAACTTATGATTTAGTACCGAGTTTATTTGAGTACAATTTGGGAGTAAGCTTTCAAAAGTGGAGAACTTAAAGCTTCTCTTACATAAAAGTTTTAGCAAGATTACAACATTTTCCATCCAAGACCAGTGCAAACACCACAGTGATTTGATTGGTTATAGATAGCTAATTCCCTGGAAGACTACTTGATTACTTCATGAAGAGGAGTGGTGATCTGAGGGGGTCTTCCCTCTGGCTCTGTTTGTTCTTAACTATTTACAGGAAAATAAATGCAGAAGTTGCATCTGCATGCCATGTGACTCAAGCTGCATAGCCACATTTGTCTCAAGGTACAGAATAATTTAAAGTTCTAACAGCTTTAAGTTGAATTATTTTAAATTTGAATTATTTAATTTCACAATATTCTGCTTAACACACACAGTTGTGTCCGTTGATGACTGTGGCCAAAAAACAATTCCTACTGTGGTGTTTTATTGTGGAGCTTTTAATGTTGTGGAGCTTTTTATTAGAAGGCTCTTAATTTCCTTTTTGTTTTGGTTTAGTCAATAACTCACACTTATATTAGTAATTTCTTGTTCTGTTATATTATGATTAGAGCTTATTTTAATAACCAAATTTGTGGAATTTAATGATTTTTTGTGACTTAATATATGATAAAATTTGTAACTGACACTTGAGAAATTAGGGAGGAGGTATATTTTCAATTACCAGGGGATAAAAGTTTGATATATATCCACAAAATCTACTGTGTTGACTATAATGATTAGGTCTTCTATCTACTTTTTATTTTTCACCTACTTGATTTATCTTGTGTTGTGAGTGTTATATAAAAATCTCCCATTACTAATGTATCTTTAATCATCATCTAGCATCTCTTATAGGTTTATGCTTAATCTTCCTTATGAATTGTGGCTTTTAGATTAAAATGTGCTTTTCTTTGTCATGTTTAACATATCTTTTTTGCCTGATGCCTATTCAAAATAATGATACATGCTTTTTTATTGTCTCCATTTACCTGTATAACTTTGTCTTTATTTTTAGCCTTTCACAATTCATTTGTTTTAAATGTATTTAGTACAAGATACAAAATTTAGTTGTTTCATTGTGAGTTAAATTTTAAAACTTTTCATTGAGTTATGTGTATTATGACATATTTGCTATGTTTCTTTGTAAGATGTGTATTTATTATTTTTGACTTAGCTAAGTTTTGATATTTAAAAAGGTTTATATTTGGTTCTAATAATTCCCTTTTTATTTACATAATTTTAATGGTTAGTATTTTTATACTCTATTTTTTACTCTAGTATTTACATGATTTTTAATGCTCTTAGTCCCACTTTACTACTTAACATTTTACAATTTAGTTTTTCAGTTTTAAATATTCTTCTTTAACTTATTGCTCATACAATGTTGACAAAAAGATTCACTCTGTAAAATATTTGAAGATATTTATTCTGAGCCAAATGTGAGTGAACAATGGCCCATGATATAGCCCCAGGACATCCCAAGAACAGGTGCCCAAGGTGGTTTGGCTGCAGCTTAATTTTAAACATTTTAGGAGGACATATGACATCAATTAATATATCTAAGCTATACATTGGTTGAGTCCCAAAAGGCAGGACAACTCTAAGCAGGGGGGTCCAGGTCATACATGAATTCAACAATTTTCTATTTGGCAATTGGTTTAAAGAGTTAAGTTATTGTCTCAAGACCTGGAATCAGTAGAAGGGAATGTCTGGGTTAAGATAAGGAGCTGTGGAGACCAAGTCTCCCATTATGCAGACAGAATCAATAGAAGAAAATGTTTCTTATCAGACTTAAAGAGTCTGCTCTATCAGTCTTAAGATCTCTGTTTTTTTTTTTTTTTTTTGGCTTAAAGATTTATTGAGTTGAACACCTTTGTAACCACCACCCAGGTCTGGAAATAGAACTTTGCCTACACCCCTGAGGACTCTTTCTCGTGCCCCATCTGGAGCACAACACCCTCCCTCACACCAAAAATAACTATTAGTCTGACTTTTTTTTTGCGGGGGGGAGCTGGATACTTCAAAACATTGATATTTTCTTGTTAGAATTTAAACCTTTTTTTATTATACTTTAAGATTTAGGGTACATGTGCACAACGTCCAGGTTTGTTACATATGTATACATGTGCCATGTTGGTGTGCTGCACCCATTAACTCGTCATTTAACATTAAGTATATCTCCTAATGCTATCCCTCTCCCCTCCGCCCACAACACAACAGCCCCCGGTGTGTGATGTTCCCCTTCCTGTGTCCAAGTGTTCTCATTGTTCAATTCCCACCTATGAGTGAGAACATGCAGCGTTTGGTTTTTTTGTCCTTGCTATAGTTTGCTGAGAATGATGGTTTCCAGCTTCATCCATGTCCCTACAAAGGACATGAACTCACCATTTTTTATGGCTGCATAGTATTCCATGGTGTATATGTGCCACATTTTCTTAATCCAGTTTATCATTGTTGGACATTTGGCTTGGTTCCAAGTCTTTGCTATTGTGAATAGTGCTGCAATAAACATACATGTGCATGTGTCTTTATAGCAGCATGTTTTATAATCCTTTGGGTATATACCCAGTAATGGGATGGCTGGGTCAAATGGTATTTCTACTTCTAGATCCCTGAGGAATCACCACACTGACTTCCACAATGGTTGAACTAGTTTACAGTCCCACCAACGGTGTAGAAGTGTTCCTATTTCTCCACATCCTCTCCAGCACCTGTTGTTTCCTGACTTTTTAATGACTGCCATTCTAACTGGTGTGAGATGGTATCTCAGTGTGGTTTTGATTTGCACTTCTTTGATGGCCAGTGAAGATCAGAGCAGAACTGAAGGAGACAGAGACACAAAAAACCATTTAAAAAATCAATGAATCCAGAAGCTGGTTTTTTGAAAAGATCAACAAAATTGATAGACCGCTAGCAAGACTAATAAAGAAGAAAAGAGAGAAGAATCAAATAGATGCAATAAAAAATGATAAAGGGGATATCACCACCGATCCCACAGAAATACAAACTACCATCAGAGAATACTATAAACACCTCTATGCAAATAAACTAGAAAGTCTAGAAGAAATGGATAAATTCCTCAACACATACACCCTCCCAAGACTAAACCGGGAAGAAGTTGAATCTCTGAATAGACCAATAACAGGCTCTGAAATTGAGGCAATAATTAATAGCTTACCAACCAAAAAAAGTCCAGGACCAGATGGATTCACAGCCGAACTCTACCAGAGGTACAAGGAGGAGCTGGTACCATTCCTTCTGAAACTATTCTGATCAATAGAAAAAGAGGGAATCCTCCCTCACTCATTTTATGAGGCCAGCATCATCCTGATACCAAAGCCTGGCAGAGACACAACAAAAAAAGAGAATTTTAGACCAATATCCCTGATGAACATCAATGCAAAAAACCTCAATAAAATACTGGCAAACTGAATCCAACGGCACATCTAAAAGCTTATCTACCATGATCAAGTGGGCTTCATCCCTGGGATGCAAGGCTGGTTCAACATACACAAAGCAATAAACGTAATCCAGCATATAAACAGAACCAAAGACAAAAACCACATGATTATCTCAATAGATGTAGAAAACGCCTTTGACAAAATTCAACAGCCCTTCATGCTAAAACCTCTCAATAAATTAGGTATTGATGGGACATAACTCAAAATCATAAGAGCTATCTATGAAAAACCCACATCCAATATCATACTGAATGGGCAAAAACTGGAAGCATTCCCTTTAAAAACTTGCACAAGACAGGGATGCCCTCTCTAACCACTCCTATTCAACATAGTGTTGGAAGTTCTGGCCAGGGCAATTAGGCAGGAGAAGGAAATAAAGGGTATTCAATTAGGAAAAGAGGAAGTCAAATTGTCCCTGTTTGCAGATGACATGATTGTATATCTAGAAAACCCCATTGTCTCAGCCCAAAATCTCCTTAAGCTGATAGGCAACTTCAGCAAAGTCTCAGGACACAAAATCAATGTGCAAAAATCACAAGCATTCTTATACACCAATAACAGACAAACAGAGAGCCATATCATGAGTGAACTCCCATTCACAATTGCTTCAAAGAGAATGAAATACCTAGGAATCCAACTTACAAGGGATGTGAAGGACCTCTTCAAGGAGAACTACAAACCACTGCTCAATGAAATAAAAGAGGATACAAACAAATGGAAGAACATTCTATGCTCATGGGCAGGAAGAGTCAATATCATGAAAATGACCATACTGCCCAAGGTAATTTATAGATTCAATGCCATCCCCATCAAGCTGACAATGACTTTCTTCACAGAATTGGAAAAAACTACTTTAAAGTTCATATGGAACCAAAAAAGAGCCCGCATCACCAAGTCAATCCTAAGCCAAAAGAACAAAGCTGGAGGCATCATGCTACCTGACTTCAAACTATACTACAAGGCTACAGTAACCAAAACAGCATGGTACTGGTACCAAAACAGAGATATAGAACAATGGAACAGAACAGAGCTCTCAGAAATAATGCCACATATCTACAACTATCTGATCTTTGACACACCTGACAAAAACAAGAAATGGGGAAACGATTCCCTATTTAATAAATGGTGCTGGGAAAACTGGCTAGCCATATGTAGAAAGCTGAAACTGGATCCCTTCCTTACAGGTTATACAAAAATTAATTCATGATGGATTAAAGACTTAAATGTTAGACCTAAAACCATAAAAACCCTAGAAGAAAACCTAGGCAATACCATTCAGGACATAGGCGTGGGCAAGGACTTCATGGCTAAAACACCAAAAGCAATGGCAATGAAAGCCAAAATTGACAAATGGGATCTAATTAAACTAAAGAGTTTCTGCACAGCAAAAGAAACTACCATCAGAGTGAACAGGCAACCTAGAGAATGGGAGAAAATTTTTGCAATCTACTCATCTGACAAAGGGCTAATATCAGAATCTACAATGAACTCAAACAAATTTACAAGAAAAAAACAAATAACCCCCATCAAAAAGTGGGTGAAGGATATGAACAGACACTTCTCAAAAGAAGACATTTATGTAGCCAAAAGACACATGAAAAAAAGATCTCTGTTTTCATGTTAGTGCTGGTCAGGTGTGTCTGAATTCCAAAGAGAGGAGGGTATAATGAGGCATATCACATGCCCACTTCCCATCATGTTGTCAACTAGTGTATCAGGTTATCTTTGGAATGCCCTTGGCTGAGGGTATGGTCCCTCATTTGGTTGGGAGGCTTAGAATATTTTGGGTTTACACAATAATCAATGAAATTCTTCTACTTTCTCCTTTTTTTGGTCCTCCTCTTTTCCATTTTTAGTTGCAATGTTTCTATCATCATCACATATAATTTTTTTTTACATTAGTATTCAACCCTTATCTTTTTTACTCTTGTGTGCAGGCACACACATATCTATGTGTATATATGTATGCATGTACACATATGCATATATATAATGCTCAGCAGCAACCCTGTTGTTGAAGTTCTCATGATCAACTCTTGGCTAATACAAACATCCTCTAGTAGATTCCCAAGAAGAGTTCATACATACAGTATTTCCTAAGTTCTTGCAGATTTAAAAACTGTTATTCTATAGCATTGATAATTGAAGAAATTTAGCTCAATATAAAATCTCTGCTTCAGCCAGGTGCGGTGGCTCATGCCTGTAATCCTAGCACTTTGAGAGGCCAAGGCGAGCAGATCACAAGGTCAGGAGTTCAAGACCAGCCTGGCTAACATGGTGAAACCCTGTCTCTACTAAAATACAAAAATTAGCCAAGCGTGGTGATGAGTGCCTGTAATCCCAGCTACTCAGGAGGCTGAGGCAGGAGAATTGCTTGAACCTGTGAGGCGGAGGTTGCAGTGAGCCAAGATCATGCCATTGCACTACAGCCTGGGCAATAGAGTGAGACTTCATCTCAAAAAATAAAAATAAACAAATAAATAAAATATATTCTTCATCCCTGTAATCCTAGCTACTTAGGAGGCTGAGGCAGGAGAATTGCTTGAACCCAGGATATGGAGGTTGCAGTAAGCTGAGATCACACCATTGCACTCCAGCCTGGGCAAGAAGAGTGATGCTCTATATTAAAAAAAAAAAAAAATCCTATCATTGTCTTGTTTTGTATGCTGATTTGAAAAACTTGATGTCATTCTAATTATTTTGCCCTTGTAAATTATCTGATCCTTTTTGCTTGGAGGCTGTAAAAACTTATTCTGCATTGTTGCAGCCAAATAGTTTTTCTAGGATATTTTTCAGAATTGATAGTTTTGAGTTAATTTACTAAAATACACATTCCCTTCAATGGTTATGTTCAGATAGTTGATTACTGCAGTTTTCTTTGACTAGTTTTGAATCTTCATGCTGCCCAACTATTTTGTTTATTTTTCACAGACTACAGTTATACAAATATTATTTATTCTTTGCTTGTCTTATATGCCCACCACTTTTTTTCTGGCTCATTTAAGTCCTTCTCTTAGCTCCATTTTATTCTCCTGGGCATTTGCTTGCCTTCCTTCAATGATCTTATTAAATTTTCATTTGAGCCTATTATCCCTTGGTCACAATGTACTTTAGTAATTATATTTGAGATAATTTTGTCCTTTATTCCATTTCTTTCTTAAGTTCTTTTTTTCATCTTGGTTTTTACCCATTTTTTTTAATTTGCATTTCAGCCCAAGTATTTCTTAAATCCGTAAATGTTTGCTTGATAGCATTTAATTTAGTTTGGAGTATTGTCCTGGGTTTTTTTGTTGTTGTTGATTTGTTTTTTTTTTTTTCCTGCTTCATCATCATTAACTTGGAAGTATGGCAAAGAGAACTCCTTAGGTCCTCTTATTTTTATTCTCTTTTGTCTTGTAGAACCATAAATTTTCTTTTTTTGCTTCATTACTTCTTCTCCACCCAATTGTCAATGAGTGGAGTGCCTCTCATCGTTTTTGTTCACCCCACATACCTGACCCTGAGAAGCTATGGTTTTCAAAGAATGATATTTCAAATTACCTGCACTTTTCAGTTTCTTCACCATCTGTGCCCTGCTCTCTTGGGACTTCCTTCTGTGTTTTCCCACTTACAGTAGACATGTTTTCTACCTGTGGTGTTATGTTAACCATAGACCTATTGTTAGCTTCATCTTCTCTTAATTTTTCTTGGCCTATATTTGTTCTATATAAAGATATGTGATAAGATAGTGTCTGAGTGGTTGCTACATGAAATTTAGTGTGATTATTTTTTCTACTTTTTAATCATCATTATTTTGAAGTTTATGCATTCTTTGTCCTTACATTACGTGGATGGCATATTTGTATATGTGTGTGTATGTTTTACTTGTTCTTCTTTCTGTTCTGTTTTATTTTGGACAAAATATTTGCAGAGGTGAACCTGAGAGCTGCCATTGCCTACAGCTACCCAGACATCCACTATATCTTGACTTCCAATTTTAATGTGTCACAGAAGTATTGGAATCTAATTAATGATTTCTACTCAGTATTTGCAATGACTGATTACTATTTTTCCCATGATAAATAAATATAATACAAATACTAACTTTTTTTTTTTTCGGAAGTGGAGTGCTTTGGCGATATCTCGGCTCACTGCAACCTCCACCTCCCAGGTTCAAGTGATCCTCCAGCCTCAGCCTCCTGAGTAATTGGGACTACAGGCACTTGCCACGCCTGGCTACTTTTTGTATTTTTAGTAGAGATGGGTTTTCACCATTTGGCTAGGCTGGTCTCGAATGCCTGACCTCATGATCCACCCACCTCTGCCTCCCAAAGTGCTGGGATTACATGTGTGAGCCACCACACCCAGCCTACAAACTAAATTCCTATCGCTGATGTGTGACCCTGGGAAATCTTAGCAGTTAATTCTGGCATCATATTTATTGCAAAATGATTATAGAACATGTTTAGCTTTAGAGTCTGACTGACTGAATTCATACCGGCTACTTAGAACTGTGTTGCTATGGGCAAGTTCTTCACTTTCTCTCATCTGCATTTGCTCCATGAAATGAGAATAGTAACCTTCCCATTTCATAGAATTGTTAATAAGGATTAAATAAGATATGCAAATAAAGCAATTAAAACAGTCTCTGACATAAAACTATTGCCAACAAAAGTTAACCCTTCTTACTAATGTGTGAAGCATATTGGAAAATATCTTCTTGACTACATCAATGTAATTTTTCTTATTCAGAGCCAAATATTTCAAAATTTAAAAATACTGGTGCTTATTATTTTATTCCTTTCAGTCTTAGAAGTTCCCCGTTATTCCTCTAGTTATTCTGATTAGTCAGTACTCTTAAATATTGTAATTAATTCACAGCTCATAAACTTAAAAATAATTAGTATTTTTAGGGGGTTGTGTTTAGCATTAATTAAAAACAGAAGCATGCAGAGTTAATTGTGGTTATGTTAAACTATTCTCTGTTCTTTCAGTAAAGCAAGCACCTTTAGAACATCCCGCTAAGAAATGGATGGATTCGGGCCAGGCGTGGTGGCTCACACCTGTAATTCCAGCAGTTTGGGAGGGTGAGGCGGGCGGATCACGAGGTCAGGAGATCAAGTCCAGCTTGGCCAACATGGTGAAACCCTGTCTCTTCTAAAAATAAAAAATTAAAAAAAATTAGCAGGGAGTAGTGGTGCGTGCCTGTAGTGCCAGCTACTCGGGAGGCTGAGGCAGGAGAATCGCTTGAACCCGGGAGGCAAAGGTTGCAGTGAGCCAAGATCAGGCCACTGCACTCCAGCCTGGGTGACAGAGTGAGATTCCATCTCAAAAAAAAAAAAAAAAAAAAAAGGTGGATCGAATAACAAAATGCATTCAAAATTTTTTTTTAATAAAAATCTAAGCTGGAAGATGGGACAGTAGGAAGCATTCATAAGAATTTCCAGAGAAGTTTCCCCAACTGGTTATTGTCATCCTGAGTGTGGTTTCTAATGTTATTTTGAGGAATGGACATTTTAATCGTATTGTGCATTTGCAGAGAAAATACAGACAATATTTGCCAACAAATAGTTCTTTCATATGATAAAATTTTCAAAATAATAATTTGAATTATGCCAATAGTATTTTGTGCCTGTAGAATTTGTGTCTCCTTTCAACAGGATTACCTTTATGTTGTGTGTTTTAGAGTATAAAGAACACATGGTTGATACATGAAGGAAATTATTCCATTCACTTGAACTTATATATATTGATTTAATAAATATTTATTAGTCATAAATAATATGCAAAGAATGCTATCAAGTGTGATAGGACAATACAGAGAAGGAAGCAACTAGCATCCACCAGAAGAAATACGAAAAATATACTTATAAACAATTAATAATGTGATTCAATGCACAGTAAAAACAGGAGTTCTATAGGCTAATGAGCAAAAGACTAAAGGAGTGCAGAAGTACCTGAAGTGAGCTTGAATAAGCCTGAACAATTTGAAACCTTTATGATTTCAAAACTATTCAGTTAAGAAATGGTTCAAAGCCAAATGTGCTCAAAGTCATCTTATGTAGCAATATCTTTGTATATCAGAGGAAGACTATGTAAATGGCAGTTCTGCAAATTTATATATAATATATATTTAATTTTTATTGAAGGATAATAAATGCAACTCTGCTATTTTAAAGCTTACATGCATATTAAGTCACAGCAATAAACACAGTAATTATTTAGAGTTTATCCTAACAAAAGAATTTGGGGCTAGAGAATACTATTACTGATATTATTTAGAATTGCCAATACAATTTGATTGCTTTTATTATGTTTTTACATTTGTTCAGATAATTTTCCTTCTAATTGCTCACACTCTGGGTGGGCCAGCTCCAGTCATCATTGTTATGTCCTTCCTAGTGTTATTCAAAACATGTTAGATCTTGTATACTAGGGATAGAGGTTCCTTGTAATGCAGAGGAGGAGCTAACATTATAAATTATATTGGTTTCCAAGTTAGGGAGGTACTGAAGTGTAGAGGACCTTGAGTGTCCTACCTCTCACAATTAACTACTTTAAAATCACAAACAATTTCAGGAAACTTACTAAAAATACAGTGTAAGAGAATACATGAATACATTTTTATTTTTTGTCATACAGGTGACATAAACATTTATGTTAGTTCATTTAACTGTAAAATTGAAGTGGATGCTTAGAGCTCTGCTAACAAAGAATGCTGATTTCCTCACTATGGATATTGACGAGGCAATTTGCATAGAGACAATTGGAATATTCATTGTGTTGGAAATATAGCATGTAGAGTAGGATCAAAATATTCAGTGGATAATCATTCTAAAGAATAAGACATCACAGCATTAAAAATTATACCATGCCTAATACCAGGAAATATCAGAATCTGATTCTAATAAGTTAACATTTCAATGAAATCCCCCTTAATCATGATGATTTTGTTCCTTCAGGACTACTCTTTATTCTAATGTGATGTTTTATTAATATATGGCTTTAATGTATCTCTAGCTGTTTGAACTAATCATAATTGGTATTTACTTTCTTACCTAACTTAACTTTTTGTATTTACTAAAGAATCTTTAATGCTTAGTAAAGTAGAGTCAAAGGAAATGCAAAACCAAAACCAACCAAACAAAACAAAACTCCATTACTCAAATGTATTTATACATTTTAAACAAAATATATTTTAGTTTGTATATGTTACCTAATTGCAATTGATTTAGGTCTTACCACCAAAATTTTATTTCACTGTAATAAATTATTTCCTCAAATAAGACTGAGTATTTTAAATATCAAGTTTACTTTTATTTGGACGGCATCATCAAGAAACCAAGCCTCTCAGAAGTTTCTTAATAAATGTTTTAATGCCTTTGCTGATTTACCCATGTGGTCCTCATTACTCTGTATATTAATTTTTCCTGATATTGTAAAAAACCCATAGCGACAGGTGCTGCTTCTTTCTATCTTAACAAGCGCTTTAATTCATAAAATTATTCAGTAAATATTTGTGAAATAAAATTGATAAACCAGTCTGATTTACAGAGGCAGCTGTCCAGGCAAGAGTAGTAAACTTCTACTAACAAAATTACTTCAGAGGAGCTAACATTATAAATTATATTGGTAGAAAATAATTTATGCACTTGATATGGGCTAGACACTACATGTTTTACATTGTTGATTCATTTAATCTTCACCACAATCTTAGGAGATTTGTTCTAATATGTATCTCATTTTATAGTAAAGAAAATTGAGACAAACAGAGGTCAGGTCAAGTAAATTGGCTATAAGTAGTTTTTGCTATTTATCTTTTACTGATTTAGATGAGAGAGTTGAGAGGCTAAACAACACTTTTCATGGCCTCACTTGCCTAGAAGAAATACAAATTAAAGTCCAGATTATACTCAAAGTGAAGCCTTGGTAAATCTCCCAGTGTAAAGACTGGAAACTTACAGAACTTCACTCTAGGAAAAAAGGTAAACTATAAGAAAACCTTCCCTTACCAGATCACAGCCCACATTTGAATCATCTGAGTGGCCTTGTATATCTCAAGTCTAATTTTGAATGAAGATGATGCCAGATTTATAGTCTTTTTAGGCATTGGCAGAAACAAATATAAATTCTCTCAGAAAGAAGATGACATCCATCATTCGGGGACTCAATAGTTTTGTAAAATAATGACTTTTTGATTCAAAGTCTAGAACATAATCAGCAATAATCTAGACATATGATGATATATAATGACATAAATGAGAATCAGAGTAAATAACAGCAGAAAGATTATATTCTCTCCAGATAATGGAATCATTATATACAGGCCAAAAAAACTAATGGATATAAAATTATAAACTTTCTATTTTAGCAAGAAAATAGAAAGTACATTGAAGTCAAAGAGAATTGGATAGAAGTAGAACTTAAAAAATACAAAAAGAAATATTATTTATTTTACTGATGGTTTGAGAACATATTAGAGACAACTAAGAAGAAGAATGAACTGGAATATAGATCAGGAAAAACATCCAAATTAACAAAGGAAAATGAAATGAGTAAAACACAGAAGATAAGAAAGATTTACAGAGAACACAACAATAATTTCTAATATGTGTTATTTGTATCCCAGAGGAGAAGAGAAAGAAATTATGGCAGAACAAAATGTACAGAGATAATAAGATAATTACCCAAAGCTAATGAAATGTATCAAGCCATGGAATTAACAAGCTAACACATCCTAAGAGGATTTAGAAAAAGGAAATTTAGGCCGGGCACGGTGGCTCACGCCTGTAATTCCAGCACTTAGAGAGGCCGAGGCAGGTGGATCACCTGAGGCCAGGAGTTTGAGACCAGCCTGGCCAACATGGTGAAACCCCGTCTCTACTAAAAATACCAAAAATTAGCTGGGCGTTGTGGTGCTCGCCTGTAATCCCAGCTACTCAGGAAGCTGAGACAGGAGAATCGCTTGAACCCGGGAGTCGGAGGTTGCAGTGAGCTGAGATTGCACCATTGCACTCCAGCTTGGGTGACAGAGCGAAACTCCATCTAAAAATACATAAATAAATAAATAAATAAATAAATTTTAGAGGCAGAGCAAGATGGCAGAATAGAAAGCTCCAATGACAGTTCCCCGTACAGCCCCTGCAAAGACACCCAGGTAACAGCTATCTACACAGAAAAAGAAAAAACAAAACAAAAACACCTTCCTAAGAACCAGAAACTCAGGTGAGCATTCATAGTACCTAGTTTTAACTTCATATCACTGAAAGAGAAACTGAAGAGATGCAAAACAAATTGTCCTGAATTGCCAATGCCATGCCTCCCTGACACCTGGCAGCAGCGGTGTGGTGCAGAGAGCTTCTCTGGGCACTAGAAGAGGGAGAACACAGCAATTTCGAGGCACTGAACTCAGTGCTATTCTGTTAGAGCAGGAAGAAGAACCAGACCAAATTCAGCTGATGCCTTCACACTTAGGGAGCACTTAAACCAACCCTAGTCAGAGGGGGAACCGTAGATCTTAGTGGTCCAAGACTGAGTGCCTGCAGACCTTGCCACTGAGAGTCAAAGTGCTCTTGGTCTCTAAGTAAACTTGAAAGGCAGTCTAGGCCATAAGGACTGTAACTCTTAGGTGAATCCTAGAGCTGAACTAGGCCCAGAGACAGTGAACTAGGGGGAGCAGACGACATATTGAGACACCAGCTGGGACAGCCAAGGGAGTGCTAGTGTCACCCCTCCCTTAACTACAGGCTTCACAGCTCATGACTCCAAAAGACACCCTTTCCTTTTACTTGAGAAGAGGAGAAGGAAGAGAGGGGAAGGCTTTGTCTTGCTTCCTAGATACCAGATCAGCCACAGTAGAATAGGGCACCAGTCATAGTCACGAGGTCCCCATTCCAGGATCTAGCTCTTAGACAACATTTCTAGACACATTCTAGGCCAGAAGGTAACCCCCTGCCTTGAAGGCCTTCATTACATGCTAATTGAAGTGTCTTTGGGACCTGAATAACCAGCAGTGATATCCAAGTACTACGTTGAGAACCTTGGTGAGTCTCTGAGACTTGGTGGCTTCAAGTGAGCTCAGCACATTACCAGCTGTGGTGACTATTGAGCAAAACTCCTCTTGCTTGAGAAAAGCAGAGGGAAAAGAAAAGGGGACTTTGTCTTGTACCTTATGTAGCAACACTGCCACAGTGGAGTAAACCACCAAGGGGGCTCTTGGGGTCCCTGATTCCAGGACTCGGTTCTTGGATGACATTTCTGGACCTACCCTGGTGCAGAGGGGAGCCCACTGCCCTGAAGAATGAGTCCCAGGCCAGGCAGCATACACACAAGCTGACTTAAGGATCCTTGAGCCTTAAGAGAATATCATCAGTAGACTGGCAGTACCCCTTATGGACTGGAGCAGCAGTGGCTATGAGGTTAGGCTCCTCTGCCAATGGAAACAGGAGGGAAGAGTAGGAAGGACTGTGTCCTGTGGTTTGAGTGACAACTTAGCTACTGTACAATAGAATAACAGGTAGATTTTTAAGGGTTTTAACTCTAGTCCCTTGAATCCTGGACAGCACTTCTGGACCCGCCTACGGAGCTTGCTTCCCTGAAGGAAAGGATGCAGGCCCAGCTGGCTTTGCCACCTGCTGATTGTAGAGCCCTAAGGCCTTGGGTGAACATAGGAAGTAGCCAGGGAGTGGTTACACAGGCCTTAGGTGAGACCCAGCATTGGCCTGGCTTCAGGTGTGAACCAGCACAGTCATAGCGGTGTTGGGCACAGGGGTGCTTGTGTCACTCCACCCCCAGCTTTAGGTGGCTCAGAACAGAGAGAGAGAGACTCTATGTATTTGGGAGAAAGTAAGGGAAGAGAACAAGAGTCTCTGCCTGGTAATCCAGAGAATTCTCCTGGTTTTTGTCAAAGATGATCAAGGTGTACCTCTACAAGTCTGTAAGAACCACAGTGTTACTGGGCTTGGAGTGCCACCTAAAGAAGATCACAACACCAAAGTCTTTTCAAATATCTGAAACCCTTCCCAAGAAGGATGGCTACAAATAAGTCCAGACAGTGAAGACTACAATAAATACCTAACTCTTCAACTCAACAGACACTGAAGAACATCTACTACCATCAACACCATCCAGGAAAACATGACCTCACCAAGTGAACTAAATAAGGCACCAGGGACCAATCCTGGAGAAACAGAGATCTGTGATTTTTTCAGAGAATTCAAAATAGCTGTGTTGAGGATATGCAAAGAAATTCAAAATAACACGGAGTTAGAATTCAGAATTCTATCAGATAAATTTAACAAAGAGATTGAAATAATTAAAAATAATCAAGCAGAAATTCTGGAGCTGAAATATGCAATTGACATACTGAAGAATGCAGCAGAGTCCTTTAATAGCAGAACTGATTAAGCATAAGAAAGAATTAGTGAGCTTGAAGATGGGTTATTTGAACATATACAATTAGAGGAGACAAAAGAAAGAAGAATGAACAGCAATGAAGCATGCCTATAAGATCTAGCAAACAGCCTCAAAAGGGCAAAGAGGGGATAGAGAAAGAAACAGGAATAGGAGTTTATTCAAAGGGATAATAACAGAGAACTTCTCAAACCTAGAGAAAGATATCAATATTTAAGTACATGAAGATTATAGAACACAAAGCAGATTTAATCCAAAGAAGACTATCTCAAGGTATTTAATAACCAAACTCCCAAAGGTTAAGGATAAAGTCAGGATCCTAAAAGCAAGAGAAAAGACACAAACAACATACAATGGAGCTCCAATACATCTGGCAGCAGACTTTTCAGTGAAAAACCTTACAGACCAGAAGAAAGTAGCATGACATATTTAAAGTGCTGAAGGAAAACGCGCACACACACACACACACACACACACACACATTTATTCTAGAATAGTATAGCTGGTGAAAATATCCTTCAAACATGAAGGGGAAATAAAGACTTTCCCAGACAAACAAAAGCTGAGGGATTTCATCAATACCAGACCTATCCTATAAGAAATGCTAGAAGGAGTACTTCAATGAGAGAAAAGAACATTAATGAGCAAGAAATAATCACATGAAGATACAAAACTTACTAATAGTAAGTACACAGAAAAACAGAATATTATAACACTGTAACTCTCATGTGTAAACTACTCTTATGCTAGGTAGAAGTACTAAATGATGAATCAATCAAAAATAATAACTACAATAACTTTTCTTTTTTTTTTTTTTAATTTATTTTTTTATTGATAATTCTTGGGTGTTTCTCACAGAGGGGGATTTGGCAGGGTCATGGGACAATAGTGGAGGGAAGGTCAGCAGATAAACAAGTGAACAAAGGTCTCTGGTTTTCCTAGGCAGAGGACCCTGCGGCCTTCCGCAGTGTTTGTGTCCCTGATTACTTGAGATTAGGGATTGGTGATGACTCTTAACGAGCATGCTGCCTTCAAGCATGTGTTTAACAAAGCACATCTTGCACCGCCCTTAATCCATTTAACCCTGAGTGGACACAGCACATGTTTCAGAGAGCACAGGGTTGGGGGTAAGGTCACAGATCAACAGGATCCCAAGGCAGAGGAATTTTTCTTAGTGCAGAACAAAATGAAAAGTCTCCCATGTCTACTTCTTTCTACACAGACACGGCAACCATCCGATTTCTCAATCTTTTCCCCACCTTTCCCGCCTTTCTATTCCACAAAGCCACCATTGTCATCCTGGCCCGTTCTCAATGAGCTGTTGGGCACACCTCCCAGACGGGGTGGTGGCCCGGCAGAGGGGTTCCTCACTTCCCAGGAGGGGCGGCGGGGCAGAGGCGCCCCTCACCTCCCGGACGGGGCGGCTGGCCGGGCGGGGGGCTGACCCCCCAACCTCCCTCCCGGACGGGGCGGCTGGCCGGGCAGAGGGGCTCCTCACTTCCCAGTAGGGGCGGCCGGGCAGAGGCGCCCCTCACCTCCCGGACGGGGCGGCTGGCCGGGTGGGGGGGCTGACCCCCCCCCACCTTCCTTCCCGGACGGGGCTGCTGGCCGGGCGGGGGGATGACCCCCCCACCTCCCTCCCGGACGGGGCGGCTGGCCGGGTGGGGGGCTGACCCCACCTCCCTCCCGGACGGGGCGGCTGGCCGGGCACAGGGGCTCCTCACTTCCCAGTATGGGCGGCCGGGCAGAGGCGCCCCTCACCTCCCAGACGGGGCGGCTGGCCGGGCGGGGGGCTGACACCCCCACCTCCCTCCCGGACGGGGCGGCTGGCCGGGCGGGGGGCTGACACCCCCACCTCCCTCCCGGACGGGGCGGCTGGCCGGGCGGAGGGATGACCCCCCCACCTCCCTCCCGGAACAGGGCGGCTGGCCGGGCGGGGGGATGACCCCCCAACCTCCCTCCCAGACGGGGCGGCTGGCCGGGACAGAGGGGCTCCTCACTTACCCAGTAGGGGCGGCTGGGCAAAGGCGCCCCTCACCTCCCAGACGGGGCGACTGGCCGGGCGGAGGGCTGACCCCCCCACTTCCTCCCGGACGGCACGGCTGGCCAGGCGGGGGGCTGACCCCCCCACCTCCCTCCCGGACGGCGCGGCTGGCCGGGCGGGGGGCTGACCCCCCCACCTCCCTCCCGGATGGGGCGGCTGGCCGGGCGGGGGGCTGACCCCCCCCCCACCTCCCTCCCGGACGGGGTGGCTGCCGGGCGGAGACGCTCCTCACTTCCCAGATGGAGTGGCTGCCGGGCGGAGGGGCTCCTCACTTCTCAGACGGGGTGGTTGCCAGGCAGAGGGTCTCCTCACTTCTCAGACGGGGCGGCCGGGCAGAGACGCTCCTCACCTCCCAGACGGGGTCTCGGCCGGGCAGAGGCGCTCCTCACATCCCAGATGGGGCGGCGGGGCAGAGGCGCTCCCCACATCTCAGACGATGGGCGGCCGGGCAGAGACGCTCCTCACTTCCTAGATGTGATGGCGGCTGGGAAGAGGTGCTCCTCACTTCCTAGATGGGATGGCGGCCGGGCGGAGACACTCCTCACTTTCCAGACTGGGCAGCCAGGCAGAGGGGCTCCTCACATCCCAGACGATGGGCGGCCAGGCAGAGACGCTCCTCACTTCCCAGACGGGGTGGCGGCCGGGCAGAGGCTGCAATCTCGGCACTTTGGGAGGCCAAGGCAGGCGGCTGCTCCTTGCCCTCGGGCCCCGCGGGGCCGTCCGCTCCTCCAGCCGCTGCCTCCCGGGCGGCGCTCGCCGGCGCGGCGGCAAAGACTGAGACAGCTCCGCTGCCCGCTGAACTCCATCCTCCCGGCGGTCGGGCGGCGGCGGCTGCGGTCGGTCGCGGCAGCGGCTCCGCTTCATATCTGCAGCTGGGGCTCGCGGGCGTCAGCGCCGCGACTGTCCCGGCTCCGCACTGCCCCGCGCCGCAGCGCAGCCGCGCCAACCACCACCCGCGGCCACCATGGCCGGACGGGCTCCCTAAGCCCAACTTTTCAAGAATAGTCAGTACAATAAGATATAAATAGAAACAACAAAAAGTTAAAAAGCAGGAGAACGAAATTAAGGTGAGTTTTTCTTAGTTTTCTTTATACTTGTTTGCTTGTTTATGCAAATAGTGTTATTATCAGGTTAAAATAATGGGTTATGTGTATTTACCACCCTCGTGGTAACCTCACACCAAAAAACATACAATGAACACACAATAAATAAAAAGCACGTAATTAAATCATATCACCAGAGAAAATCATCTTCACTAGAGGAACAAAGGAATGACAAAAAGGAAGGAAGAAAAGACCACAGAACAACAAGAAAACAAATAACAAAATGGCAGGAGTAAGTCCTTATTTGTCAATAATAACATTGAATGTAAATGGACTAAACTTTCCAATCAAAAGACATAGACTGGTTGAGTGGACAAAAAGACAAGTCCCATTGATTTGTTGCCTTCAAGAAGCATACTTCACTATAAAGGCACACATAGACTGAAAGTAAAAGATGAAAAAAGGTATTTCATGCCAATGGAAACCAGCAAAAAGCAGGAGTTACTATACTTACATCAGACAAAGTAGATTTTAAGACCAAAACTATAAGAAGAGACAATAACTATAGGAAACTATAAGAAACTATAAGAAGGGACACTATATAAGGAAAAATGGGTTAATTCAAAAAGGGGATATAGCAATTTTAAATATAAACATATATACACCCAACACTGGGACACCCAGATATACAAAGGAAATATCAGAGCTAAAGAGAGAGATAGGCCCCAACATAATAATAGTTGGAGACTTCAACACTTCACTTTCAGCATTGGACAGCTCTTCCAGATAGAAAATCAATAAGAAACATAAGACTTAATATACACTAGAGAGAAAATAGATCTAATATATATATTTATAAAACATTTCATCCAAGAGCTGCAAAATACACATTTTTGTCCTCAGCACATAGATCATTTTCAAGGATAGACCATATGTTAGGTCACAAAACAAATTTTAAAACATTCATAAAAGATTGAAAACCCAAAGAAGACAATGAAAAAACTAAACAAATGAACTAACCTACATAGAATATGTAGTCAAAGAGAAAGCACATAGTGAGATAGTAGATGTGTATCTTTAAAAAAGTGCTTATACTAAATATTCATGAACATAATTATCTACTCAAAGATTTGTTAGGATGCATAAAAATTAGTTAATATTGACTATTTACAAGAGACACATCAAAACATGAATTTACCAAAGGCATATAGTAAAAGGATAGAGAAAATGTATTACTTAACCTGAACCAAAAAGAAGGTAATATTGTTATATTCATATCAGACAAAATAAACTGCAAGACAAAAACAATACATTAATGGCTATAAATGGTTATTTCATATGAATGGAAAGTTTTATATCTATTAGGAAGATGTACAAATTCTAAGCTTATCTACAATTAATATGGGGGCATCAAAATATATAAAACAAAAATTGCCAAAATTTCAAGAAAAAAAAACACAAATCCACAACATTGAGGGGTATTTGATGGAACAAACAGATAAAAATCAGTAACAATATAATAAACAACACAAGAAAAAATTTTGACCAGATGATTATATATTGACCACTGAAGGCAATAACTGTAGATGATACACTCTGTTTCAGGCAGACAAAACCATTTTTCGGTGTTCAATTTGTTTTCAGATTTCCAGTGTTCAATAACCTCTATGGCTAGTGGCCACTATACAAGACAGTGCAGTTCTAACAATTCACATGTCTTTCTCCGTATTTAAAAATCATTTTTTTGTGTGTGTGATGTTATCTTAACTCTTACTTTACTGTAATTTATTGAAGAATATTGGGGAATATATATCCTTATTAACTAAAGATGATAAAGATGATAATTATATGTGAAGTACTTTTTCAAAGGCTGTCCAGGCTCCAGTGCTTTTAACCCAGAGGCATTACTTTTATATTTAATAAAGCATTTTAAATATGTAAAAATTTTTATACATTTTATACGAAAGACACAATAGAAAACTATTTACTAAATACCCATCCAAATACTTGGAAACCGGGAGAAAAGTAGTCACTTAAATTGATTAGAGTTTAATTGAGAAAGTGTCATCATCTTTTTTTTTTTCCAAAGGCAAATATACCGTGAGTCTATTATTTGACATCTTTGGGGTCTGAATAGTTTGTGGTCTACATAAATGCTATGGCTTCTATTATCATTTGAGGGATTGTTTTACAACTCTACTTTTAGTGATAAAGTCAAGACTAGGACTTGCTAGGCATTTTACAGCAGAACTGCAATAATTTCAAGCCGACTATATCATTTTCATTTGGAGAGGCACTATGTATAGAGAAAAATGTTTCAGTGGACTAGCTTGGGCTTTACAGAGATTCTTCAATCTGTGGCTTGATGTCTTTTATCAAATTTGGAATAATCCTGTTTAGTATTTCTGTAGACTTATATTTTCTCTGCCATTTACTCTCTCTCTTCTTTTCCTTATATTGCAACTACACGACTACAGCTTTTTTTAAAGCAGGTCCACATGTATAACATCTGAATTGTGCTGTATATATCTATATTTTTCTCTTTGTTTTAGTTTCAGTATTTTTCTATTAACCTCTCTTTGAGTTCACTATTTTTTGCTGTGTCCGGTATGCTATGAAACATATTAAATTAGTTCTGATTTTCAAATATCATATAATGCAGTTCCAAAATATTGACTGGATTATTTTTATAGAATCAACTTCTCCTTTGAAATGCTTTAGGTTTTAATCCATTCTTAATTATCTATTTCTTCAGCTATTTTGAAGTCCTTTATTGCCAGCTGTGACATCTGGATCATTCTAGAGTCTACTTCTATTGATTAATGTATCTCTTAATTATCTGTCACTTTTTTCACTTCCTAGCATATTTAATAATTTTTTTCTGTTATGCTAATATTGTAGATAACATACTGTAGAGACATTGCGTTAAGATGTCTTCTATAGAGAAATGCCAATTAAAATGTGTAAATTCTCTTAAGTCTTGATTTTAGTCCTCATTAAACCACATCTCTTTTAGCTTCTCCATTATTTCTACAGTTTATTCTCTCCTAGAGCACAGCTATAATTTATAGGTACTAGGCTTTCAAGGGTCTTACTTGAAGGGTGTGTGCACTTTATGCTAAAATCCAAAATTTTCTTAAAATCTCTGCTTGTAGGTTTTTTTTTCCCAGATACCTTAGAATCTCAGTATAAGTACAATGTAGAAGCTGGCTAAAGACTCTAATTTTTGCAAAGATTTTTGGTGCTCCTTTACAGCTCCTATTTCATGGGCATTGTACTCCCAAATTCAAGTTGCCATGGAGGGCTTAATACTGATTACTCTTTCTACTACTGAGGACTGTTCATCTCATTATTTCTACTATGATTTGGAAAATACTGTAAGGGAGAAAATATATGTAAATATGAAGCTCATCTCACATATTCCTCTCTCAAGTGTTAAGGCCATGTTGGTTGCTGTCTAAGAATGCTGACATCATTTTTTAAACTTTCTCCAGCTTAAATAGTTTTTTTTTTATCTTAATGTTTTTATTTTTTATTATGAAATAATTCAAATATACATAAAAGAATGAGCCACCCACATACCAGCCACTAGACTTAACTATTATTAACACTTTGCCATATTTTCTACAGATCATCATTTTTCTGTTAGGGATGTAAAACACTATAAACACAGTTAAATCCTCTTTTTTTCCATTCCAATAGACTTTCTTTTTTTTTTTAATTTATTTATTTTTTTATTATTATACTTTAAGTTTTAGGGTACATGTGCACATTGTGCAGGTTAGTTACATACGTATACATGTGCCATGCTGGTGTGCTGCACCCACTAACTCGTCATCTAGCATTAGGTATATCTCCCACTGCTATCCCTCCCCCCTCCCCCCACCCCACAACAGTCCCCAGAGTGTGATGTTCCCCTTCCTGTGTCCATGTGATCTCATTGTTCATTTCCCACCTATGAGTGAGAATATGCGGTGTTTGGTTTTTTGTTCTTGCGATAGTTTACTGAGAATGATGATTTCCAATTTCATCCATGTCCCTACAAAGGACATGAACTCATCATTTTTTATGGCTGCATAGTATTCCAAGGTGTATATGTGCCACATTTTCTTAATCCAGTCTATCATTGTTGGACATTTGGGTTGGTTCCAAGTCTTTGCTATTGTGAATAATGCTGCAATAAACATACATGTGCATGTGTCTTTATAGCAGCATGATTTATAGTCCTTTGGGTATATACCTTATAGTGAGAAAGTAAAAGCTACACCAGCTACTCCATTATGGTCAAGCCAAAAGATCTTTGCCATGAATTTCAATAAATCTAGCTTTTTTTTTTTTAATTTCTGAAGTTCTATGACAAAACAATACAGATATTGTGTATACATTTTTATGTTCCCCTTTAGCTTATAGCTTATTAGCTTATATAGTACTTATACATTTGACTCTGTGTGTGTGTGTGTGTGCGTGTGTGTGTGTGTGTGTGTGTGTAGAGAATGAGAAGGAAGGAGAGAAAGTGAGAAAGTGGATAGGTATATAAATGTGTGCATAAAAATTATATGTTTTTTCTACTCAAGCAAAATGATTTCAAGAATTAAATATTAGCAGAAAGCTTTTAAAGGTCTTGTGAAAATATATCAGATTTGGGTCACCTTTATACAGATACTTATTTCATGAAATCATTTTTAAGAAACATCTTCTGCTGGTAATCTATAGTGGTCAAGTAAAATTTCTAGAACATTAAATGTCTTCCCAAATATAAGAAACTCTTGTTTCTCAATGACATTGTATACTTGACTTAAAATAACTGAATTTTGGATCCACAAAGTGATAAATGGATAACTGCAATCATAATTAGGTTTAATTATTTCTCCTGGGAAACAATTTTGCTATGCTATTGTATTCACTTCCATTGCTGTCAATGGAATCTTACGTATCCAGAGTAGACATTCTTAGAACTTTGGGTACATTCAGGGTATCAATTTAGGAAATGCTATCAAATCAAAAAAGCAACTTTATAACTCATCTCAAAACCATATATTTTGCCAATGAGAGAAATAAAATGCTAGGAGTATAATTTCTAGAAGCCAGAGTCTTTGTTTTATTGTGAATACTAAACAGCTGCCATTCAATAAATGTTTGAAATACATAAGAAATGAACTCAAAAAAAGTCTTTAGAATTTAAATTTTTGTATTTCCAGAGGAAAAAAAAATAATTATTTTCTTTTCTAATATTTTACATGACATTTTTGCAATACAAAAGTCATAGTTAAGAGTAATTGCTCAGACATTCTGCTTAGTAGCATTTTCTCACTGCAATGTACCAGATGTCAAAATCCATTACTGTCATGGTGTCACTTTCATAATTTTAATGACTGAGATTCTGTGACATATATAAACACTGTCAGGATTTTCCAGCAAATCAAATCTTTTCCAAATTTACTTCTTTTAATAGTTGAGCCTTTTAAAAGTATTCAATTTACTTTTCCTTATCTAAAAACTTTTAACAAGCCAGACAAGTAACTGACATTAAGCTTTTTTTCTATAATGTTATACCAAGTTTTACATTTGTGAACTGTTAATTTAACCTCCTTGAAGATTGTAGCTAATGTTTTATTAGGATTTTGGAACTAAGTGTTTTGGTTTGGCTTCTTATCTCTGAGAGGGCCAAATATCTGCATGAATATTTTATAAGAATTAGCTGAAAAAAATTCTGAGAGTTTTTAGTTAATACTTTGGTAAATAATAACCAGTGCTTATGCCTGGAGACAATTCTTAGGGTGGAAATAAACTACCCAAACTAGCTGTCAGTATCTAGGACAGCAGCAGTTCAGAGCAGAAGAAATGTGAGGCAGATGATACAGACAGAATGAGCGATGTACGATGGAACAAAGAAGAGAATAAAGTTATTTTGAAACCTCTGTTCTTTCTCGGGGATAGTTCCTGAAGCTTTGAACTACCATCTTGAAGCACATCTGGCTGAACAGGTAAGCCAAAGCGGTGAACTCCACTTGGGTGGAACCACAAACGTTGCCCCACTTCAAGGTATTAAATACCTGTCCTCTAGTTTCCTTTCCCCAAATTAATTATCCTACCTTGATCCACTTGGGAAAAGCCTGCCTCTCTCTTTCTCTCTCAAAACAAATTGTATTTTAAAAAATAACAAATAATAAAGGTAAATAATTTTGCAAAAATTTTGGTTGATAGTTGATAATTAGAACATTGTTGCTTTGACTTTTGTTTTTTTTTTAAACTTATTTTATTAGTTCTTTACCATACTCATTTGTGGTGGTGGGAGTGGTGGGCAAACTGGGAAGATGGCAGTAACTCATTCCAGCCGCTTCCTTCATCTCCTGTTGACTACCTAGAAACAGGTTTTTAAAAGCCTCATCTTCTGCCTACTTGTGCCATTTCCCCCAGATATTCAGATCTAACTCAGTCCTTCTTTTTCCCCACTCTGGGAAACAGTAATGCTAAAAATAGATCAGATTAAGTAGATTGTTTGTGTGAAGTCCAATGTTAGTATCCTCATAAAATAGTCCATCCAGATTTTCCCTGGATGAGTGCTAAAAGGGAGGGTCATCTTAACAGAACAATAATTTCGGAAGCATTTATCACATTAAAGATCCCCCGACCTGGCCCCACAGTTTCCACTCATCATGAAAAATATGTTCAATATAAAAAGCACAAACACAGTGTGCTCTTAGCTGGCTTCTGCTGTCAGGACATCTATGGCAGAGGCTCAGTTGCCAGGAACAGAGCCAATGAGGTTTGAGCTGATTAAATTTCAAACAAAGATTTATCACAATTGTTCGGAGTTATATTTCACTCAAATAATGGAAATACTGTGCAATAGAGGAGCGTTGATGAATTTTATGTTTCCATCCTTGGGACTTAAAAACAATTGTAAATATACTCCAAATATCAATCCCAGACCATCCCTGCCACATTTCAGTTTAAAAGGTTTGATATAGAGTGAATATACATACCTGCCCCCAGTGTTCAATGTGGGGCCTGGTGGGAGATGTTCGGTCAGGAGGCAGAACCTTCACAGCTTGGTGCTGTCTTTTTCATAGTGACCGAGTTCTCCTGAGATCTGGTTAAGTATGTGGCACCTGCCCCACTCCCACTCTCTCTCGCTCCTACTTTACCCAAGTGATATCCAAGCTCCTGCTTCACTCTCCACCATGAGTAAAAGCTCCCTGAGGCATCCCTAGAAGCTGAGCAGACACCTGTACAATGCTTCCTGTAAAGCCTGCAATACCATGAGCCAATTAAATCTCTTTCCTTTATACATTGCATAGTTTCAGGTATGTATTTATAGCAATGCAAGAACAGTCTAATACATGATTTATCTTGTTAAACAAAGGTAAATTTAAAAAAATCTATAAAACGAAACGAAGAATGAAATTTAAGCATAAAAGGTAAAATATATGGGAAAATCACAAAATGTACATTCAGCCCTGCCACAGACAATTCTTATATTTTCTGGGGAATAGTGCACAGTGAATATATTTTCAGTATTTACTGGCCAAGTGGTCACTAAAAAAGGGAAGCAGAACTTAATAATTTGTAAAATTTCTTTGGCTTTGGATGATCTAGATTGATCCATACATTTCTCAAATGCTCCAGCTAATCAAATCAGTTATGTAAGCATGGCTTAAAAATACAAAATTAGCACATATTTATCTTATCACACATCGCCTTCTCTCTATGTAAGTATTACTTTAAGTCTGAATAATCACTGGAAAAATTGCAATGAATTAAATTATACTGTTAGTAATTCACCTATTTATTTGGTACGACTTATAAACTATAAAAATGTCAGTGAAAAGATGAATGAATACAGCAAATGAAAATATTTTCATTATTTTTAATATTTTTGATATAGAAAATAAACATGGAAAACATGACACTTTTTATTATCATATAGTTTCCAGTGCTTTCTGAAATTATTCTTTTTCAAGGAGGCTGCAAGTACTTCTCAAAAATTATTAACTTTTCAACAATAAATCTGTAAAACACACATGATTTACCAACTGTTAGGTTAAAACAACACCTTCAATAATATTCATTCCTAAAAATTTGAGATTTATTCTCAATACATTATTAAAATCATCCCTCAAAACTATGATTCATCTTTTTCTGCCTTACAGAAGGTTAAGATGACACCCACTTAAAATGTATCTCTGAATATAATTTGCTTTTCTGATCAAATACATAGATTTACATACAACTTTGTAAATACTTAGGAGCAAAAAAAAAAAAGAGTAAACACTGTATTTTATGTAAAGTCTTAAAAAAACAAGAACAAACTTTAAGTCAAGGAAATAATTTGTAGAATTTGAAGTTTTGATTTTTAAGCTTTATTTATCCAAGGCACATGATAGGGACTGGAACCATGTGGTTGTCAGTTTGGATCCTGGCCTCTACATTATGCTCAGGAAATCCTGGAAAAACTGCTTACAATTCAAACTATAGCTCCTTATTAATAAAAATAGGCATTAAATCTACCCATATTTACTGTTGTGAGAATTAAATAAATATCATGACATTAGAATTTTAATTTTATAGCCAGCATTTAATGGAGGCATATGATGTGCTAGATTGTTTGATAAATATTTTAAATATATTGCCTTATTTAATCCTTAGAGAACTCTATATAGAGATATCATATTCACTGTATTTTATGGGATAAGAAATATAGAGGTAAGGAAAGTTGAAAATGTTAAGTAATTTTGCATCGGATAATAATTATCTCAACAGTGAAGCTGACATTCAGTGAAAAAATTCTGCTCTCAAAGGGGCTAGGACATGATTGGTATTCAATGAGTTGTATTGTCCTAATTTTAAAATTAATAACTTTTTTATTAAGGGGAAGGGTTATTACAGCGGAAACTGAAGACATACCAAGGTTCAGTCCCTATTTTGACACTCAAGTGTGACACCTCAGGGAAGTCATCTAATCTTCAGTTTCCAAATCTGTGAAGACTGGGGAAAACACATATTGTAAAATAACAAAAAAGAGATTATTGAATGATAGTTCTTACTATGGAGAGACATGTTTACCTTCATACTATTAGGGTTTTGACCCTTTCTCAAAAGATAAATAAAAATAATTTGGTTCTTTAGAGTATAATAGTCTTGAGATCTCATAGTGAGTGCTATTTCTAACAGCTAAAGCCAGGGAAATATGTGCCTGTTTCCCAGGAGATTTTGGAATAATCAGCACATTATGCATATTTTAAAAGCTAGAAAAACAATAACAATTGCTACAAAAATAGATTTTTCTTTTCTCCCACAAAAGGGCCTATGGGCCAACTACATTTGTTCATCTTATCATTTGGAAATAGTTCTATTTCTGAATTTGCCCCAAATCTAAATATTCTAATCAGTTACTCCAGCGTTTGTTCATATTATATTTACATTTCTACACTAAATATTTCAGATTTATAGATTTGGTTTCATAAATATTATTTCCTTGCTTATATCTCACGTTAGGACCAAATTGTTTTAAAAAAATTTTCCCATAGTCACTAATCAAATCATTTAAATCTTTCTGAATTTTAATATTTTGAAAAATAGTCATAATAATGACTATTATGTCACTATTTCATGTCATTATTTTTATAATGACATAAAAATTGGTTGTTGATTTCAATTTCTGCTTTAAACCAAGGTAAATAGGACTAATTTTTCATCACATATATGAGTAATTTTACTGTTTGTTTCTCTATCAATTCAAGTTTACAAAAGTATTTGGTAAATCTTTTCTAAGCAGAACTAGTATGAAGAAAACATTACAGTGAAAGGAAGGGGATAGAAATACTCAGCTCACTTGAAAAAAAAGTTAAGGCAAAAAGGAAATTTCACACTCACCAATACATCTGATTTTGGAAAACATCTAGTAATGTATATGAAGTAATAAGTTTTTATTATGTAAATGATTGTTAAAGTCAACTCCAAGACATTTTATTTATTTAAAAGAATAATGAAGAAAGCCAAATGCAAATGTTTAAAGCAGCGTGTTATTTAGCATCCATCTACTGAAAGTATTCACCCACTGTATGAATCAAAACAGTTTTACAATTAGAAGAAAATTCTACACATAGCCTTCTGATAATATTTAGTGAAAAAATAGAATAAAAATGTCATCTTATATAATGCCTTTTGGTTACAGTTAAAATACCAAAACTTTCCAGGATATATGTTTTACATGATTATAATTTATATAAAAGTTTAATCTGATTGGAATCCACTCATCCTAGTTCATGTGGCTTTGTTATATTTTCTGACAGCACATCTATTCCAAAGCCCCAATTTTAACACTCATGTTGCCTAACTACGAACTGAATTTCACTGTTAATTGCTAAATGTTCTGAAGGTTTGGTGGTAGAGCCATGGCCACAACCTTTGTTAAAAGGAATGTTATTATAATATGCTTGGAATTAACTGGGAAGCTATATTTGTCACCCAATAGTGAGTTATATATGTATAGTAATGGTCTCTGTCTTTTTCTACTACTTCAAAAATTTTCTAAAGATGCCCTCTCAAGTGGTTGATCCTAGATATTTTGAGAACTCAGGTTTGAAAGGAATGCCATAAAAGGTTGTGTACAAAGTTGTAATGTTGTGTGCTTATCAAAACATTTACCATCTTAAAAAAGACTTGCTTACCTCTGTAATATAGCATTGGGACTGAAAAATCCAGGCAGTTACACAACTGGTAATAGCTGCCTCTTGCTACTCAAAGGGTGGTTCATGAACCTGCCATAGTAACATCATTTGAGCTTGTTCCGTTTGCAGAAACTCATCCACATCCTGAACTTACTGAATCTGAATCTGCATTTTAACAATGTGCCCAGGTGGTTTGAATGCATATTACATTTTGAGAACACTGCAAAGTCATACCTTTAGTGAAACTCAACGTTTCCTGAGCTCAGACGGGCAGTCCTGAAATACAAGTTGTACCAAGCAAAGATTATAGAGCTTCTGAGCAAAGTGTGGGTAGGTTGGACTGTACCAAGTGTTAGATATTAAAATTACACCAAAAATAGTTTTCTAATGTTTTAGTAGGTGAAGAAAATTTAATTAAAATAAGTTTTTGCAAAATGTCAAGTATTATATTCAAACTGACACTTTTTCAATCACCTTTCACCAGCACTCTTCATTGAGACATGTAGTATGGATTCCATATAAACCTGAAGAAAATTGTTAGGGTTCATGTCCTCCAAGCCAAAGTACAATTCATAACCTGGGTATTAACATCCCAAAATAGCAATAGCTCTCAAATCTAGGAGACAGCATCAAAAAACAAAAGTAACTTATTACACAGCTGACATATTGACTGGTTGAAATCTCTACTCTTCTTTTTGATTCCTTTTTAAAAAAATGTTTCAAACATATATAAAAATTAGTGGCATATAAGTTGGGTGCAAGAATTAAGTTTTAGCTCTGGAGCTATGGGGAAACATTTCACATTTCTTTTAGTGTTCCAGGTTTCTCAAAACATTTGCTGCCAAAGCTTCATTTTTGTTTTTCAATTTTAGAAGTTTTTCTGGTTACCTTCAGAAAATTTCATTTTTACACTATAAACTAGATAATCACAATTCATCTTCTAATATTTACATTGTCTACCTAAGTTAGGTCACATGTTAAAAAATAAGTTTAGTTTCAACTTTGAAGCTGAGAATGTAAAACAAATATTTGTTACTGATCAATAGATATGCAGATTCTAAATACAAAGAAGATTTAAGCTACTAAAATAGCTTCATTGGTTTCATTTTCTAGGACATTTAAGCTTTTATAAATAGCAATGTCATGAGGATAAAAATTCCATGATATAAGAATTTACAACACTAGCAATATATTCCTATCAAAATATTGACATGGAGAATTATTTCTATTAAAAATAGGTAAAGTATCTTAAAATACTGAAAATAAGGTCTATGGCTCTGAGAGCTTTAAAATATCAGGGATTGAAAACTCTGCTATGTTGATATTTGTATAACATAAAATATTATTATAACTTAAAGATAATTAATGGTCTGGCTGACCTTTCTGACTGACCATTATTGACCATGAAACTGTTGATAAGAAAAGCTACTTTTAAATCTACTGTTCTCATTCTATTCTAGTCTAGAGAGAAAAGAACCAACTGTAATATTTTTGGTGACCATTTAAATGTAGATTAAAATTCAAATAACAAAGAGTAATTTTGCTAAAAGCATATACAGTCGGCCTTTTGTATCCATGAGTTCTGCTTCTGTAAATTCAAAAATATGTTTTAAATTGCATCTGTACAGAACATGTACAGATCTTTCTTTCTTGTCATTAGTCCCTAAATAATACAGCATAACAACCATTTGCATACCATTTATATTGCATTAGGTATTCTAGGTAATCCAGAGATTATTTGAAGGATATGGTTGGATATGCATAGATTTATGCAAATACCACACCATTTTACATAGGGGACTTGAGCATCTGTAGATTTTGGTATCTGTGAGGGTACTGGAAGCAATCCCCTGTGGATAGAGAGGGATGATTATATTTGAACTTGGAAAACACTAGTAAGAAGTTTCAGTGACTAAGACTTAACTGGGCATTTTAGATACATATAGAACATTCAAGAGAGAAAAATTTTTATATTTTCAAATTTATTATTCAGCCAAGACTTTTTAACATGACCCAAATGAAAGTTAGGACATTTAAGGACTGACTTAACAACCTAATTCTGCAGCTAAATAAAACTCTGCAGGCCCAGTTGTACTTACCTCATCTAGGTTACCTGGCAGAAACAAAAAGTAACTTTCAATAATTACAGGGTAATAAAGCCACATCTAATTGTTGGAAAATTCATTAATAACATCAAAAACTCCACAGTCTTAAATAACTGCTATGAGTTACAATATCTTAAAGGCACCCGTAGAAGTAGGATTTTAGATTTAAAAGATTTCAGGTTTTGTTTATAACTATTGTCATGAACTGGATACTGAAAAAATATTATCCTAGACCAGAGTTCTCAATTATAATGTTTCAATAGAATCACTTGGGAACTTTTAAAAATATTTATGGCTGGGTAGCACTGCTTAGGGATTCCAATGATTAAAAATGGCAGGTTCTGAGCATTGGTATTTTTTAAAAAGCTATTCGGATAGTTTCTAATGTGCAGCCAATCTTGAAAACCACTGGTCTAGAGTGGTCTAGAACCACTCTAGTCTAGAGTTTTAACTGTCTCTCTCAAAAAAGACAAGGTTTATTTCCAGAGCAGTCTTGTCAATTATAATCCTCATCATTTGTTTATCAAACATTTATTGAACACTTACAGTGGGAAGTTATTGGGCTAGGTTCAGAGGGTACAAGAGTGTAAAATATAAGGAAATAACCCCTGCCCTTAATCTATTGACAGTCTAGTGGAAGAGCCATTTAACAAAGAAATGATTGCAATATAGTGGTAGGAAAGGGTTAAGAATGTGTTACAGAGATTCACCAGAAGAAGACAGGCAAAGATAGGTAACACTGGTGGGGAAAGGACATCAAAGCAAGAAAAGATGAGCAAAGACCTATAGCAAGAAAGATCATAGCTAGATCATTGAGAACTGAACATTGTCCTGGGATTATGAGAGGCTTTGCAAGGTAAGCTCAGGAGCATAACTTTTTATTGGAAGCAGTAGAGTATCATTAAATGATTATAAGAATAGTAAGAAAATGAAAAACAATGAAAAAGCAGACAGTATTGTTTTACTATTCCATAGTTAATAATAATAGTAATCACTTGCACAATTTTAATAATATATGGATTATTTTTAAAATAATCATCTATTATCAAATATATAGATTATTCTCCTTAATGAAGGCAAATATTACTTAAATACTTTAAATGAATTAATTTATTTAATATTTTCCCTATTTTTACAGATGAAGAAACAGTCATAGAGAAGTTAAGTGACCCCTGAAGGTCACATAGTGTGTTGGTTTGCTCTTGCATTGCTATAAAGGAATTCCTGGGACTGAGTAATTTACAAAGAAAAGTAGTTTAGTTGGCTCACGGTTCTGTAGGCTGTACATGAAGCATGGTATCAGAGCATCTGCTTCTGGCGAGGGATTCAGGAAGCTTACCATCATGTTGGAAGGAGAAGGGGAGCCAATATGTTATATGGCAAGAGAGGGAGCAAGAGAGAGGGAAGGAGGAGGTTCCAGACTCTTTTTAACAACCAGATCTCTAGTGAACTAACTGAGCAAGAACTCACTTATCACAAAGGGCATGGTGTTAACCATTCATGGGGGGATCTGCCCCCCGATCCAACCTTCCATCAGGCTCCACCTCCAACACTGGGAATCAAATTTCAGCATGAGTTTTGGCGGGGACAAACGTCCAAACCATATCACATAGTAAACAAGTGGCAGAGCCAGGATTAAAACCACGGAATTTGACTCCAGAGCCAGCATTGCCATGCTAATAATGACTCGTATTTTTAAAATTTTATTTTGTGATTTTTTTCCAAAACACTTTTATTATAATTTCATGTACTATTAAGTATATAGTAATATTCCTGTATTAACTGTTATTTGCAATTAACATGCTAGGAAACGATTTAAAATATTTAGTTTTCATATTCTCAATTCCTTGAAATATTTATTTCAAATTTATTTTTTATCATTATGTAATTATTTTCTTCAAAGTGAACAGAAATAGGATTTTTATCATCCAGAATCATCTTAATATTGCATTTTTTAGAAAAATTGGTAGTACCCTTTCATTGTAAAATTGTTAAGATCCCCTCTCATTTTTCATGAATTAATTTTATTTAATTTTCATTTTATAAAACATGAAGATTTTTATAAAACATGAGGATTTATTTTATCAAACATGGGGAGTTAAGAGGTTGGATATGAGTTGCTACTAGAAGGGTGCCCTATCCCAGCAGCTGAGCTTTGCTGGAAGGCAGGAAGAGGCACCATATCCTTGTGAAGCTACCCTTCTCACTCACAGGAAGATAGCACAGGAATTGTGGCTGCTCTGACTGTATTTCTCCCCTTCAAAAGAGGTTTCATTGGAAATGATGTCATGACATGGACTGAGAAGATAGACTAGCTGCTTTCTCCTCTATGCCCAGGAGGGTGCCCTTCACATGAAGAACCCTTTTCAATCATTCCAGACTGACCAAAATCTATGCAAGTGGTAAGATTGTTTAAACTTCCCTTTGCTGGAAGTTCACCTCAAGTGTCTCATTCTCTAAGGTTCTCAAGGCAGAGGTCTTATCTTGGTTGTTGTTGGTCCCCAGTTATTAAAGTGCAATTATTACTTCAAAAACAACTGGAGAAAAGCCTCAATACGTGATGGTAGTGAGAGTTCAATGGCATGCCACACCAGTTCCTGGTGAAGTTTATGAGAAGTCAAGAAATTGGTGCACTTGGAGAAGAGTATTTGGGGGAGAAAGAATAGGATATGCAAATGTCTTGGGGGTAGGAAACATGGAAAAATGCATGGAAGAAATTAGGTATGAATATGTGTGTCAATTACAGAGAAACACTGTTGGGTACAGCTCTCCTACCTCCACATGTTTTTTTTTTTTTTTCTTTGATATTGGAAGCTCCAATTCAACTTGTTTAAAAAAAAAACTTTGTATTATAGAAAGTTTCATTATGTAGTGTCCCCAGTTTTCAGCAGGTTTGAATGGTTGCCTTGGTCTATGAGGGCTCTTGACAATTGCTACTTACACTGGCACATGACTAACGGGGACTCAGCTTGATTTCCTTGGACTCTCACTATTTATCAGAGTCATTTTTCACTTATAAATTTTCCCCTATCTACCGTAATTCATACCGGCAAGAAAAACATAAAATGAAGAAGAGCTTTGTGGATGAAAGAAAAAAATCACTAATGGAGTAATTATACTATTTCTTCTGTCTGCTTTATGTTTCCTTTTCTGTTTTTCTCCGAAAATATTAATTTACTACTTCTGCTTTTAAGAGAATAACTAGTGGCAGATTTCCAGATCAGCCAAATCACAGACTGATACAATCAACAATGACACTGTTCATGATCCTTCAAATAAAACTGTGCGACTTCACATTACTTCAAAAGTCTCTTCACATTATTTCAAAAGCGTTTGCTTTATGTACAAATCATTATTGTTCTCAAACATTTTACTGCTATTTTTCTTAGTTAAAATTATTATGAGTTTTTTTCAGTAGCTTGTAATTATACATTTTGGAACTTTTCTAAGCAAACCATTGAGAAAGCATACGAACACACACATACATTGATGCTACTATCTTTCTGTATATATGAATATTGCCTATAGCTGGAGCATTAAATTCTGCTAAGGAAACGGTTCTAAATATAAATTCTATCTTTTAAATAGTGACAGAACCCACATTTTTCACATGCTTATGAGAGATCTCAATGCTTATCAGCATTCTCAGGATTAATAACATAAGCTCCTTAAATAATTATTGGCAAAAAAAATTTGTCTCAGGTCTTAAATCACTTTAATAGATTATTTCAGCCTCTGTTGTAATTCCTCAAGATACAAAGAAAAATTTCAAGGGAGCATTTATGGTTATAATTTACTGTCTGCATTTCTGATCTTTTGTGCTCCTTTCCATCGCAGCATTTCATGGGAAAGTTTTTAATATTCTGCAAAGTTTAGACACTGATCTGAGGCCACTGAGTCACTACTGAAGATTATCATGGAGGTTGCCAACCTGTGAGAACAAGACCTGTTATGTATTCCTATAGATCTGATCATTTTTCTCAGGGAAATTGACCAAAGACCTTGTGGATTTTATTCCTTTTCACCAAGCAAAACTCATTCATCTAACAAAGGCAACAGAGGCAGCTTAGTGGCAAAAATGAAATAGCAGGCAAGAATTCTTGTCCTAATCATCTTGTTTTTACCATGAATATAACTATGCCTTAAATTTGCATTCATAACAGAAAACCTGTGACAGGATCTATTTCCACATCAGACTAAAAAGTCTGTAAAGTACTTGGCAAAATGGTGCTTAACGTACTATTTATTTATAGACCATTCAATGTGCTACTTCCACTTATTTCTTACATGTGAAAACAATAAGCCAGCCATCTGGTGTGCAAAACACAGACATTGCAGGTAAACTGTTCACCATATCTAGTTTCCAGGGTTCCAGAAATGGTGCTACAGGCTTGGACCAACTGCAAGTGGTGTGTGTAGGCAGAAAGCTTGAATTCAACCTACCTAGCAACAGACTGCGGCATTCACCATATTGTATGCACATGTGGCTCGAATTCATGCTGCTGGCTGACAGGCTTCCTACGGAGAAGCATTTAATTGTCAATATAATACACTTAAAATATTCAGCAGTGTAAAAGTTAACTGAGAAAAAAATGGCCTAAAGTCTAAACTGAGATGTGATTTAGACAGAAAACATGACTGTGTGATAGAGGCAGAAGCCTCTACAAGTGGAACTGGGCAGGAATTGACTGTGAACAACTGCTCATTGTGAGATGGCTGGGGAGGGAACCCTGAGTGAACTTATACCGCCTTGGAAATGAAAAAGTTCTGTGGTATCACAAGCTCTGGCTAAACAAATGCTCTGTAGTAAAGCAGACCTTTTGACCTAATTATTTTGTCCTCACAGCTTTGCTTCTCGGAATGTTTGTACAATGTCTAAAATTGTTCCCAACAAAATTTTTATAGCAAAAAATATTGGCTGGAGAAAAATGTCTTCTGACTAGTATTGAAAAAGAAAAAGAAATAATTGCTTGGCTTAGTTATATGCAAGCTCCTGGAGAACTTGTTTTTGAATAGATTCTTATCCTTAGTAGTTCAATATTGAACAATATTCAATATTCTTATCCTTAGTATTCAATATTGAACAGACGAATGAATGATTGTGGGTAGTTATTTTACATGCTTAGGAAGAATTAAGATAATTCTTGCAATTGTTAATGAATCAATACCAAACCATAAAGGAATCAGTAAGAGGAAAGAGATGAAGGTCAGTTGGAGGAAGAGTTAGTCTAATGATTTACTCTTGTCTTCAGTATGCACCACGGATGTATATTTAATGCATCCTGAACAGCATGGGTGGAGACAACGTCTCTGAAATTCACTATTGTAAAGTCCACTACAATTGCCTAACATTTTGTGTTTCTCTACATTGATTCCAAAAAGTTGGAATAAGAAGTATTTCTTAATCCTTAAATTTTGTTTGTGGTTTGATGGAATCTAGCTAGTCAAAGCTCTACTTCTTAGACAAGAGAGATGAGCTACCCAACATGTATTTGACTGTGTATGTAAAATTTATGTAAACTATATGTAAAATTATCAGCACCTGACACTATAAAAAGCACCCAATCAATCATAGCTATCTCTTTTTATTGTGGTTATTGTCAATCCACAATTACAGTGGTATCTTTTTAAGAGTCCCTAAACAGACATGGCTCTTTTTTATTTCATTATCATTTTTCATTATGATATTTCAGACACACAAAAGATTATATATATATATATACACACACACATATGTTTATAAGTAGATAAATGAAATTTAACTAACCAGTTAAACATCAATATTTCCACCTTTGATTTAAAAAATATATATATATGAATTATTTCACCTTCTGTTGTACTCAAGATACACAGAAAAATTTCAAGGAAGCATTTATGGTTATAATTTACTGTCTGCATTTCTGATCTTTTGTGCTCCCTGCCATGACAACATTTCATGGGAAATTCTGCAAAGTTTAGACACTGATCTAAGGCCAGTGATACATACATACATACATATATATATATATATATATAGAGAGAGAGAGAGAGAGAGAGAGCGAGATGATACATAGATATATATAGATAGATATGGATATGGATATATATATATATATATATATATATATATATATATATCCAATAGAGCTGTCTTCCCTCCTGTTCATGTTCACTGATGATGTCTATGGCTGCTCACCAGCATGGCATTTCCTGTCTTCTGCCAATCTTTTTTCAACAGTTGTTTTCATTCTCTTATTGATTTGCAGATGTTCTTCATATAGTCTAAATACTAAAATTGTAATGTAAATTTGAAGCAAATATCTTTTGCCAGTTTTTAGCTTATGTTTTTAAACTTTATTTTTTAAGACACAGGATCTAGCTCTGTTGCCCAGACTAGAGTGACGTGGTGTGATCATAGCTCACTGCAGCCTCAAACTCCTAGGCTTAAGCTATCCTCCTGCCTCAGTGTCCAGGGTAGCTAGAACTATAGGCGTACACCACCATCCCAGTGTAATTTTAAAATTTTTGTAGATTTGGGGTCTCACTGTGTCGCCAAGGCTGTCACAAACTCCTGGCCTAAAGTGATTCTCTCAATTCAGCCTTCCAAAATGTTGGGATTACAAGTGTGGGCCACTGCAACTGGCCTGCTTGTATACTTTTTAATGATATATTTTGATGAACAGAAATGCTTACTTTTAATTATCAGCATTTATCAATTTTTAATTGTTTATTCTAGACACCATTTTTCAAATAAACCATTTCTTACCCTGATTTCTTATAGGCCCATATTTGTTCAAATAATTTATTGAGCCATAACCATCTGTGAGGCATTCTTCTAGTACTTTAGGCACATCACTAAATTAAATTCCTGAGCCTTTTTTAACACTTAAATGTTTGATTTACCTGCAATTGAATATTTTTGTGGTGTGAAGTTTGATTCTATTTTATTTATCTTTGATAGATATAATCAGTTATCAGAGCTCTTTTTAAAAAGTATATCCCTTTTTTTCAGTTAATTGCAGTGCCATCTCTGTAACAAATAAAGTATTCATAGATGTGCAGAAATATTTGTATGCTCATTACTTTGTCCAGTATGTTCTTTTTTGATCCTTATTTCAATATCACACATTCTTAATTACTATAGCATTAAAATAAACCATCATATTTGGTATAAAAGTATTTCTAATATGTCATTCTTCATAAATATTTTGTATATTTGGAGCCCTTTGCTTTGTCATATAAATTTTAGGCAAGGTTATCAAGTTCCACACAAACAATGTTAGAATTTTAATGCAAATTGCATTTTAGCCATAAATCAGTTTGAGATGAATTGTCATATTTATGATAGCCATGAACATGATTTGTTTCTATCTATTTATTTTTGGTCTTTTATAATGATTGTGAGTATCGTTGTACAGCTAGCTTTAAAAATATCTTATGCCATTTCTTATGCATTATTTCTAGATATTTTCACTATGTTATGCTATTTACATTGCATATTTTATTTAAATCTTTTATCATTTTGCTCGTATCTAGAAATGCAGTCCACTTTTATATGCCTTGTCACATTTTAAACTCATATTAATTCTAATACTTTGTAAAGTGGAATTGGTAATGTAAGCATCCATATCACTACAAATAATGAGAGTTATATTACTTTTTTATTTACAATGCATACTTATCTTGCTTTTGTTTCTTTGACCTTTTGAGATGGCTAGGAACTCCAATACTATAAGTTGTATATTTAGGTACAATTATGTATCCTTGCCTTGTCCCTCATGTTAAACAAAAATGTTTCTAAATCAGTCAGAATAGATTAAATTTCACTATAATAACAACCCCCTGTCTTAGTCCTTTTGGTCTGCTTTAAAAAAATAAATACCATAAACAGGGTACCTTATAAACAACAGAAATGTATTTCTCATAGTTCTGGAGGCTGAGAAGTCCAAAATCAAGGCAGCTTCAGTATCTGATGAGGGCCCATTTTCTGGTTCATAGAACACCTTGTCCTCACATGGTAGAAGAGGCCAGGCAGCTCTCTAAGGCCTCCTTTGTAGGAACACTAATCTCATTCATGAGGGCTTTGCCTCATGTCACAAACATTCAGACCAAAGCACTCTCAAAACTCAGTAGCTTAAAACAATAAAGGCTTATTTCTTGTTCATGCTATGTGTCCATCACAGGTTGGCTGCAGCCCTACTCCATGCTGTCTGCAATCCAGAATCTATGCTAACAGAAAAGCTTCTCTCAGTGCAAATCAAAATCACAATGAGATACCATCTCACACCAGTCAAAATAGCTATTATTAAAAAGTCAGAAAACAACAGATACTGGCAAGGCTGTGGAGAAAAAGGGAATGATTTTACACTGTTGGTGAGAGTATAAATTAGTTCAAACATTGTGAAAGACAGTGTGGTGATTCCTCAAAGACCTAAAGGCAGAAATACCATTTGACCCAGCAATCCCATTACTGGTTATATACCCAGAGGAATATAAATCATTCTGTTATAAAGATACACACACATGTATGTTCACTGCAGCACTATTCACAATAGCAAGTATTTGGAGTCAACCTAAATGCCCACCAATGATAGACTGGATTAAAAAAAAAATGTGGTACCGATACACCATGGAATACTATGCAGCCATGAAAACGAATAAGAACATGTCCTTTGCAGGGACATGGATGGAGTTGGAAGCCATTATCCTCAGCAAACTAATGCAGAAACAGAAAACCAGATACCACATATTCTCACTTATAAGTGGGAGCTGAATGATGAGAACACATGGACACATGGCAGGAAACAACACACCCTGGGGCCTGTCTGGGGGTGTGGGGGAAGGGAAATCATCAGGAAAAATAGCTAATGGACACGGGGCTTAATACCCAGGTGATGGGATAATCTGTGCAGCAAACCACTATGGCACACATTTACCTATGTAACAAACATGCACATCCTGCATGTGTACCCCGAACTTAAATAAAAGTTGAAGAAAAACAAAAAGAAAGAAAAAAATATTTTTCTTTGTTTACAAATGGCAAAGTAAAGAAAAGCTTCTCTTGAACGTTATTGGTTTTATGAAAGAAAAAATAATAATCATGGAGAAGTCATGATGACTTTTGAAGTTTCTACCTGTTACTTGTACTGGTATTTCATCAACTAAAGCAAGTTACATGCCTAAGGCTAACATAAATGTGATGGGGAAGTATAACTCTATTCCAACTTGGGACAATTAATCTGTAGAAAAAATAATACCTTCTATCACAATATATTAAGACATTTTATATTGCTGAACAAGTCTTACAGTCTTCTAATATTCATTTCACTCATGTTAATATTAATACATTACTGGACAATGTGCTATTATTTTCTGGATGATTTTTTATCTATGTCCCTAAGTGAAACTGCCCTGTATTTTTAATTTTGGAGAAGTTCTGTTTTCTGTTTTGAAGATCAGGATCAAACTAGCCTACTAAAATTCACTGAAATTTTCTGGTTTCTAGGAAGGTTTCTATAAAATTTGAATGATTGCTTCTTTGAAGAAAAGTAATGGGGGCTAACGTTTTCTTTTGTAAAGAATTTGAATTTCATTACCTAGGTATTAAGCCTAGTACAACAAATCCCCATGACATGAATTTACCTATATAACACAGCTTCACATGTACCCCCAAATCTAAAATAAAAGTTAAAAAAAAGATTTTAAATTATTGTTCATTCCTTTCATGATTATGAAATATTTGTTTTCTAGTTTTTTTCTAGATTCATCTTAAAATCATATTTGTCTAGTTATTCGTTTACATTTTAAATGTTATTGTCACAAGGTATTTTATTGCATTTCCTTACATTTTGGATTTTTCATTCTTTAATATTATGCCACATTTAATTCATTCTCTTGTTTATTGGTGTATTCTGTTTTTGCTTAATTATTATCATTAGAAGTTTAAAAAATGTACTATACTTTTACACATCACCTTATTTTTGCCCTGATTAATAATTTCTTCTTATTCTTTGCTTTCTCTGTCATTAAATTCTGCTTTTATAATAACCATTTCAATTATTTTACATTTTTGGATGTATCTTCAGTTCATTAGCTCAATGTAATTTTACCCTTTATCCTTTTCTGCCATTTACATCTATATATTTTTTCAATTTCTAATTTACCTGCATTACAAAGTGTAATATGCTGGTAGTCATCATTTGTGGTATTGCTAAAACATTTTAATTAAAATATTTCAATTAAAAATGATAAAGAAGTCATATGACTTCTTATTTGACCTATATATTATTGTATTTTTATAGTTCTGAATATATTGAAACTTCAGTTTTGTTGTTGTTATTGATACAAAATGTAATTATATTGTGATCATAATCAATCATTTCTATAATACAAATTCTCCTATACTTTAGTTCATGTAACTTTGGAAAAAGTTTTGTATACGCTGAAGAAAAGTGTGTTATTTAATTGGTATATGTGTTTATACCTATGTCTAGTAAATCAAGCTTATCAATTATACTTATAATTTGTGTATGATGTTTTAGTCCTTTGTTGGTCTTTTGACTTTTTAACTATGACAGTTGTGTTAGAATTTTTCAATATAATGAAAAATGTGCCAATTTATCCTTGTAGTTATACATCTTATGGATTCATATAGTTAAATGTATTTTTAGGATGCATAGAAGTTGAGAAAATTATTTTTCACCCATATATTTTAATCTTTATCTTGCCAGTTGAGCATGGTCACTTTTGTATGTGCCAGGCACCATGCTAAGCACTGGACTACTATTTTTGTATTTTGTTAACTTACTTCCTTTTGTAGGTATAATCTGATGTGTTCCAAAGGGGCATTAAATTACTTAAAATATATGAATATAAAATAGCAAAATAATATGTTAATAGTGGGAGAGAAATAGAAAAGAAATATAAGGATATAACATATAGCCTGTCTGAAATACTGGTCTTAAACCCTAAAAACTTATTAATGGTAAGAATAACATCAATAGCGAATAACTTTGCAGTTTATTATGCCTGCCACAATTTTAAGGGTTTAGTACATATATAAAGTGTTTTAACACTTACACTAACCTGATAAAGGAGGTACTTTTTTCCATTTTTCAAATGAGAAAACTGAGAAATAAAGAGAACCGATTCAAGATCTCAAAGCCATTAAGAGCTATTAAGTAAGAGTCTCCAGAATCTATATTCTTAACCACGTTTAAACAATGAATTTTAGGTATTGTGCTATTTCATATATTCAGGTCATGATTTCTACACATAAATAAAAATTACCCAGAGCCAATTAGCATAAATACACAAGACATATGAAAATATCCATAAGGAAATTCCACATGGTTTTATAAACTACATGTGACCTTTATAAACCTTACTGTTCTAAATTTCAAATGTTGTACATATATGCACCAAATCTTAAGCAAACTAAAACCTGAGCACTTCACTAATAGGACAACCAGGTAAAATTGACATTTATACTTTTCGATAAAGATAAAATTTGATTAATGATAGAACTAATTTTTCATTATTTTCAACTATGTAGAAAGCCCCAAACAAGTGTTTGTCATGAATAAAATATATGAGGATAGCTACAATTGAGAGACAGAATAAACAAGCTGATAATAACAAGAAGCTGAGAGTTATTGATTCACAGTTAAAAAAATGTTCACAAAAATTCAGTATGCTAGTGTAGGTCTGGCCATCAACTAGGTGAATAACTTTTCCCTGGTTACATATGCTACAAGGAACTCAAATTTCCTTATTTGTAACACAAGAGGACAAGATTAAATCATCCTTTCTAGATTTCTCTTGTCTCCTCAATGACTTCCTGGTCCAAAATTCTGGAGAAAAGGTTAACTTGCATTTCTAAAAGCCTGCCAGTTATACTGAGGACTTGGTGGGAGTTTGGAGGTAGACAAAGCCACATTTCCACATGCACCTTAATACTTTAGTGGACCATCTTCAAATCAAAGTAATTAGGAAGGTGAACAGTAAGATACTAGCCATTTGTTCTACTGCTTTTCTCTTTATTTGTTATTTTCTTTCTCAGGATTTTAGAATACCTTCTAGGTACAGAGCTATATGAACCCCAGAGTTGGTCCATTATAAGTATTATTATTCAGACTTCATGGAGCTGGAAGTGAGGTTGCACAATAAAAGAGAATTGTAGGATTTCTCCCTGCCCTCCCCCACATTCTAATTAGCCATAATCCCTCATAGCAAGTCACCTAACATTTCTAAATACCTAGTTACACAAGAAGAAAATGTCTTCTGGATGAATTCTGAAAATGTGACTGCTTCCAGAACATTGTTAAGAGTTCCGGCTCACGGAACAACAGATGCTCCTCCATAGAGGTGTCTTTTTTTTTTTTTTTTTTTTTTTGGTAAAAAATATTCTTCTTGGTAACTTGTTATTTTTGAACCAGTTTATTTCCCAGAAAATGCCTTTTTCTTTTGTGCTTCTTAGAAGGAGAAATTGCTACACATCGGTAGGTATGCGTAGATCTGCATCAAACTTTATTCAGATTATCTCAGGCTAAACAACTTTCCTTTATCCTACTTCTCCTTAATTTTCCTTCAATTGTCTTTAATTTTGGGCTAAAATGTTTAAGTATAGAAGGATCTAGATACATTTTTGACAATGTGAACTAAAATCAAACCTAAAATTTCAGCTTGTAGTGACACATCAAGACCAAATATAATTTAACCCACTGAAGAAAGTGACCTGACCTCAAAGATTTTGGTCCTAATTTCGAGTGACCTGGCCTGCAAAAGAGCATGACTTTAAATACTTTCTTTGTCTCTGTTAATCTTAACTATTGCCTGGAGTTTATAGGAGACCAAACCCTCATTCTAAGCACTTTGAAATCAAAACATATGCTCTGGATGATTTTCTGAATGTAACGCGGTAATTTAGTGTCCTTCATGTGCACATTTACTCAGGAACTTCCATCTAGCCACTGGCCCCAAGTTGTTGCATTAGCAATTAGCACTTTCCTTCAGAACCAGGAGGAAGTGTAGTTATCTTTTATTGAACATGTTTTATCTCTAGTGAGCGCTTCATTAATTGGACTTTTGTTTGGAATGCGTAGGTTTAGTCTCTTTTGGATTGATCTTTTCTCTTTAATTTTTCCCATTGGTATTACTCACTGACTAATGTCGGTTTGGCTTCCTATTCTTAACGTTACCATTATTACCTCAGTGTGGGATGTACAGACCCATGGGGCAGGCACAGTACTGCTAGCCTGCGCTCCGTTTCTTCAAAACACCGTTAGCGATCTGATCATCTCTACTTTAGTGCCTAGAGTTCATAAGAGAAGGTGACAATAAAAACTGGAGCATTGAAATGAGCTTACTATGTAATCATAACTGTCCCTGAGCATTGGTTTAATATTATAAAGCTTTGGAAATATGTTATCCCATTGCACTCAGAGACATTACAAAGAACACTTTTTTATTGTTGTTGCTGTTATTACTACTATTGAGATGGGAAATTTGATAACATAAGAAGAAGTTAAAATAATGCGTGCATCTTATAAATTTTAAAACCGATCTACTGGCCAATAAACATTAATTAAAGTCAAATATATACCTGAGTCTCATAACAAATAAAGTGTTACACAGAAAGTGCTGATGAGTTGTACAACAGGGAACACATTTACAGCTTAGAGTCTAGTCAAAAGGGGTTCTTTCTGGGAGGGAGTGGAATATTACCTCTGATTATTACAGCAGAGAAAAACGCTGATATTGCCAAAGGCGCTAGATACAGAATCAGATTCTCAATTAGAAAGATGGCTACTGTGCCACACAAACTGATAACGTGGTTCTTGGGATTAATACATCAAACAGGAGCCCTACAAGTTACGAAGAATGTAGGAAATAAAAAATATAAAAATCAGTAAATTAAAAACTGATTCTTCAATTGAATTGTGAAAAGATTAAGTTCAATTAAAAATATGAAGTCTTCACGCACTAAGGAGGTCAGAGAAAACGTTGGTTTCTAAAAATAAGAAAAAAGTGGGCCAAGGATGAGGATGAGCAATGCCTGAGGAATCTGAGTAGATGATTCCTGACTCACTCTGGGTAGAGGAGGATCTGAAAGTGGCATGAGAACAACATGAATTGAAGTGATAGGCCTATTCTAAAAAATAATTGTTATTATTAACATTGTATTGGTTAGTAAAATATGTACAGTGAATGTTGATTATCAATGTGTTCAAGTATTTTTAACCAGTATTTCTGTAATTTCCATTAAACGCCACATTAAAAAAACTGTTCTAGTTTTTACTACACCATGGCTAGATTATGGAATGATGAATTAACTAGACTTTACTTTTCTGAGTATGCTGCAGTGAAAATTGTGTTGCAAATTCCTATCCTTATTGACAATTCATCACAAGATGTATCTTAATCTCAAGAGAACTTTCCCACTGTGTCTTGAATGCTTATTCCCATTATCCTCTAAGACACATTCACACACACACACACACACACACACACACACACACACCTGACAGGCACCATTCTGTCACATCCTCCCATTCTGCAGCAGAAACAGGCTAGCTAAAGACATTATCTTTTTATTTTTGTATAATCTAAAAAATTCCCTTTTATCTACGCCATGTTCAGTAATTTAGTTACTTAACAATATATTTATATTTTTGAGGTGACTCAAGAAGTATCACAGAAATCAATCAAGGTAGGAAGAGTGTGGATTTGGCACCCAAAATAAGTTTGAGTGATTTCTTATCTACTTGCTGTTAACATGCCTTTTTCACTGCCATGAGCCACAGCTTGCTTATTTGAATTAAAAAAAACCCTATAATATCTGGCTTATAGATGTGATTACCATTTTGTAACACAACGCAAATAAAACATTGTGTAATGCGGTAGAAATCCAACGATGTCTTCTATAAATGGTACTCGTCAAATCCTACATCCATACGGGCAAAATTGAACCAGGATTCTTATCTCTTACCACCTTAATTTTAAATGGACCATAGACCTAAATGTAATAGGTAAACCAATAAGCCTTCTAGAAAAAAATTAAAATGTAGAAAAATACTTTTATGCTATTGGATTCAGAATACCTTGTTAAGGAGATCATAAAACAAAAAAAATCTGGACTAATTTTCAGCTCAAACTGTGCTGTGACTGCAGTGCAGCAGAATACCTTTGAAACCGTCCAGACAGTCCCTCTGTCTTTCTGATAGTCCTTGGGTTGGCTGCTAGTAGTCTAAACCTGGAGACTGAGATTGCCTTCAGATTCATGTTGATTTGGGGGTAAGTAAACTAGACGCTTTGATCTCTAAATCAGTTATTGGATACAGTCCACTCCCTGGGAAAAGGCTGATTTTACCTAATTTTCAGAGATCAAGGTGGGGAAGAGCTCTTGTGGCCCTATATTATAGTATGAAGATTTTCTCTTAATACCCTCTTTCAGCCCCATGCCAGTGCCATTAATTGGTCCTATTCTTATGAGGATTCTTGTCCCAAAGATTCAGTGGTGTACTATCACTAGGAAACAAGCCTCTCCTCTCCTGCATGGCTATGCATTTGGTATAATAAGAAACTTATTTCTGAACTTGAGAATAAAAAAGAAATAGAATACTAAATGTCAGGGAAATTCTCTAAATCACTCCATAGTCAAATGCAAATATTTTAAAAGACATTTCAAGTTATGAAAATGAATTTCCATTACAATATAATAACCATCATTATGTAATCAAATATTTTTAGCTTATTGAAATTGGATATCATGAAATAAATGTTTATTTCCCCCATTTTTTTTTTCTTTTATAGAGACAAGATCTCACTGTGTTGCCCAGCCTGGAGTGCAGTGGTGTGATCACAGCTCACTGCAGCCTTGAAATCCTGGTCTCAAATAATCCTCTAGCCTTGGCCTCCCAAAGTACAAGAATTACAGGCAATGGTCACTGCACCTGGCCTGGATCCACTTTTAAATTTGTCAAGAGGTTATGACCAAGAAAATTTAGAATGATTTATCATTCTAAATATATAAAAATATTATGTATTCTCATGCAATGTATCGACTCTACAAAAGAGATGCCCTCCCCCACAGACACACACACACTCACACTCACTCTTATCTTTACTTCCACTAAAACACACTCCTGTCTCAATTTTAACTGTAGTTGGTATCTCCAGTAGAAAGAAGTTATTTTAAAAAATAAAGAAAACTACACCTCAGGGTTAGACGAATTGTGATAATAAAGTGGAATCACACTTCCTACACATGAAGGGGATATGACTACCATAGTTATTACAAGATTTCTCATGTGATTAATTTAATGCAGTACTGAAAAGACAGTTTGCTAAAATACTGGGTGAGAATTCATCTCAAAGCCACAGGAGAGCCAGAGCAATAGCATATGGATGATTTCTGGAACATTAGCACAATTTATTTTGTCAAGGAAGAAATATATCAGTATGTTATAATTTTCGGCTCAGCTAAATATTAACACTTCAAAAAGAATCAATTTAACTTATCCACAAAAAACTTTTGACTTAATAAATGCTGAAATTTTCTAAGTGCCATTAGTTGGCCAAGATATATCATTATTTTTGACTTACATAATGAAAGATATATTTTCAGTTGTATCTTCTGGAATATAAAAAAAGGATTTTTTTTAAAAAAAAGCTATTGGTTAAAAATTAGTAATAGAGATAGAATTATATTTTTATTTATGTGATTTGCCTTTTGAAACAAGTTATCCAATGCCTTTTCTTATAAGGGCATCTTATAAGTGCCCTTATAAGAAAAGACAAGGTTTCTGGTCTTTTCTTATAAGGGCACTAATTCTATCATGAGGACCCCACTCTCGTGTTCCCTTCTAAATCTAATCACCTCCCAAAGGCCCCACCTCCAAATATCATCACATTGGGGGTTAGGGCTTCAACATTTTAAGGTAGCAGGAAAGGGAACACAAATATTCAGCCCATAACAGTAGGACAACAGGCAAGGAATTTAACAATGTAATTTTGAAACTGGAAATAACTTTTCCCAGGGTTGTTTTATTCACCATTCTGTACCCTTTTGAGAATGGTAGGGTTTTGCACACTAAACTGTTCTGGTATCATAGTCATGGTAGGCTTCACTGGTGCAACATTATCTTGCATTGTCTCTGATTTATGATTGCCCACATCTCAGGTTCTTAGAAAGAGGGGAGTGTGGCCAGAGCTGACAAGCTGTGGAGAAAGTTCTAAAAGACTACATTCTCCATTTGATTTAATCTCTTTATTTTATGTCAGTATGGTGTTATGTCACTACAAAAAGGTCACCTTTACATTTTATTGCATTGGAATTCCCATGTATTCTTGGAAGATTTGTGACATAATCTTACAGATAACTAAGTAAGGCTCTGAGAAATCAGTGACTTACTCCTACTTAAAGAACTAGTTAATGTCAGAAATGAGACAATACATATTTAGAGTCTTGTTTTCCTTCATTTTACTTTAACATTTTGCTTTTCTCTGTACACAGGAGAAATTAGAATTATGTGTATATATATATGATATTAGAAATCATGAGTTACAAATAATTTGTAGTATGTTTAAATATCTATATTAATATTATGCCACCATGTAACTTTTCTTTTTCTATTTCCTTAGGATTTTTATGTTTTTTTTTCCATATAACTGGTACTATCCACCTTTCTAATTTCATAAGGAAGCTTTTTGGTTTTATTAGTTAGATTGTATTAATTCATAAATTAATTTGGAGAGATTTGAAATGTTAATAATGTTAATATGCCATATCCAAAAATAAAAGATGTCTGTCGATACATTCAGTCTACTTTTGTGCTTTCAAGAAATGTTTCATAGTCTTTATATTGGTTTTGACCAGTTCTTGTTAAGATTATTACTAATCATTTTATATTTCTGTTGATTTTTTAAATAATGTTTTTCTATTATAGTTTCTGACTGTTTATGAAGGCTAGTGATTTTTTTGCATGTCAATTTTATATTTTGTTGCTTTATTATTTCATTTGATTTTCTAAAACATAATTATTGTTTAGGGGTTTTCCTAGTGATATCATGAATATCATGTTATCTGAAAATATTCATATAGTTTTTCTTTTTAATCTTCAAATTCTCATGTTTCCAATAGTATGTGGGTTATATTCTGTTTATTGTTTTTCCTTTACTATTGGGTATATCTTCTTTGCATTTTTTCCTAGAAGTTATCTTTGTACTTATGCTTTAAAAAATTTTGCTGTTTGTTACATTATTCCTTCTGAGAATACATAACACTTAGAGAGCATCCTTTCATGTAAATCTTCAACTTTATTTTAGTCTTAGTTCTACACTTCGATAAATATCAAAAGTTTATCATTCACCCCAGTCATTTCTTGGAAGGGTGTAGCTCATTGTTTTGTACATTCCTCAGAAATAATACATGTATACCATAGCTCCTTAGTTGTTTCTAAAAAGGTTTTTTAATAGCATTGTATTTGAACAATACCTGGATTGCAAATCAAATATTTAACTTACAGTTCCTTTCATTAAGTTTTTTGTAAATACTATTCAGCTTTCAACTTCTTAGCATGTTGATCGTGAGAAATATGATGCAAAACCAGCTTTATTTTTTCTTGAACCATTTTAATTAGACACTTTATATTTTTCTTATTGAGTTGAAGGGTTATTAAATAAAATCTTTGTGACATTTTGGGAATGCATACTCAACTATTATCTGGAAAAACATCAGGTCTTGTTTAATGAAACTTTAAATTTACTATTTTCTTCCAATGAAAATGAATGGGTTAGACTACATGCCATTAAAATTTATAAGTATAAAATAAGTCAATTTGATTCATTCTAAAGTGATTTATTAGGTAGTTCTGCATAGAGTGAGAATATATATGCTATTTAATTCAGGGCTTCATATATTGCTCAATTTAATAATACCCATCATTGTAAATTAATAATTTAGTAGTAAAGCCACACAGATTACTCACCTGATCAATGCATTTTTAAGTTTAATTTTATACTTTCTGTAGAGATAATTATTTTTGTTTCTATGCCTGCCCATAATAAAAATACCAGGAAAAATTAGGAATTATCTTACTACATAAGATATAAAGCAAATCTAGTCATATCAATATATACAGATGTAGTTTGTTTTCATGGTTTAATAAATTCTAGTTTTCTAAACTATTTCAGCATTCCAAAATATTAATTTTTCTCTCTTTTCTGATTGGGAATGGTGCAGCAGTATACATCCCTGTGTGTAAATCCTTGAGTATATCTCAGGGAGTTTCTGCAGTAATGATATTACAGTTACAGGGTAACCAAACAATACTCTTGAATTCTTTCATCAGCAAAGCTGAAAGTAATCCTAATCCAGGTAGCCACTCTAGTAAATGCAATCACCTCAGATACATTCGTATGTATAATATACGTGTAGGTCTGTGTATGTGTGTGCAGTTAGTTATGTTACCAAATTGTCATCTCATATTCATTGAGAATAGGGTATACTCATTAATTAATCAACAAAAGCCTTTGAAATTCTTAGACAATGGTAGTTACTATAGTGGCTACTTGGATTAGAATTACAGTGGGTGTTTTGGGGTGTTTTAACTTTTCTTTTAAGTTCAGGGGTACATATGCAGGATGTGCAGATGTATTACATAGTTAAACATGTATCATGGGGGTTTGTTGTATCAATTACTTCATCACCCAAGTATTAAGCCTAGTATCAATTAGTTATTTTTTCTCATCCTCCTTCTCCTCTCACCCTCCTCCCTCCAATAGCCCCCATATGTGTTGTTCTCCTCTGTGTTCAAGTGTTCTTTTACCTTATAAATGAATAAATAAGTTGTTTTGCTTGGAGTCACCAAGGATTTTATTGTATATCTGTACACCAATTCTTGTTCTTCGAATATGTTTCAAGTTGATCATTCCAGTTCAGTGCACCCAGATTAACAGTGAACTTTGCTAATATGTAGATTTATTTCTTCTTTATAGAAAATTTTCTTGGATTCTACTGTTAAACATTAATTCTGTTTTATTTTTACTTCCATTATATGAATGTTAGACCTTCTGTGTCTGTCTTCATTTTAATTACTTTCTTTCAGACTCTTTTTACTTTTTTCCTCATTTTTTGTCTTTTTTAATGCTTATTTTTTCTGTTCCCCTTTTTTACATTATCATTGAAATCTTGTAATTTATTCTACATTTCTCAGATGATTTAGTCTTTTTCTGCATTTTTTTCCCTAAATTCTATCAACTCTTGTTGAATTTAATTTCTTAATTCATTTCTCTTTTTATTTGCATTTCTGGTTTTAGGTGTCTATTTAAAATATCTAAATCCTCATTAGAATATATTTAGTTCAGATTAGCATGTTCTGTTTCAGTATGCTTCATGTTAGGTTCCTTTGGGAGAAATTTTGTTTGCCAAACTGCTATGATTTATATTTTCTTTTTTCTTCATACGGTAGCTTTCTGTGGTATTGGTGCATTTTGTTGAAAAGTTTATTGGTTCAAGATTGTCTTTTGTCAGTATAATAACATGAAGCTATTTAATGGATGATGTTTCGTGACAGTGGTCTGGGATAAGGAAAGATTTTAGTGTATTTTTTATTTTGCAGGACGTTTACTTTTATTCTGTTCTTCCCTTCTTTCCCTTCACTACACATCACCAAGGGGCTCCAAGCTTTTATAATTAAATAAAGACAGGATCTAATCCTGCACTGGTACAACTCACCTCAGCCACCTCACCTTCATCCTGGCACTGTGAGAACTAAGGGAGCCTGTCTTTATTTAAAATTCAATATTCTGTTAATCATGAATTCTTTGCATTAATTTTGATTTTAAATCATTGCATTGTTATTATTTATCTTTTTTTTTCTTTTTTTTGGGGGGTTCAAACAATTCTCCTGCCTCAGCCTCCTAAGTAGCTGGAATTACAGGCTTACGCCACCACGTCCCACTAATTTTTGTGTTTTTAGTAGAGACGGGGTTCCACCATGTTAGCTAGGCTGGTCTCAAACTCCCGATCTCAGGTGATCCCCCCGCCTCGGCCTCCCAAAGTGCTGGGATTACAGGCATGAGCCACCATGCCCAGCCTATTTATCTTGATTACTAAGGTTCTGGGGCATACCTAAATTTCACCTCAAGAGTAGTGTCTCATTCACTTCTACCTAGTCCTAGCCCTAGCATTTTCAGAATTGAAGCATTACTCTATTTACATGTAATTTAAAGTTTATGAGTTTTTTTCTTTTTTATTAACGCTGAAAATGTGAAACATGTATGATTTCATTTACGTTCCTTCTTGATTTTACAAATTTTGAGAAAGATATTTGAAAAAATTCAAATTCATATGACCACTGAAACCTCAGATTTTAATTTAAAAATAGTTTACATATAGCCAATAATAAAGTTAGCTACAGTAATTTGTGCACCAAAAAGTTAGAAGCTCTTTGGATAATACACACATTCATTTATAAAGTATTTCTTTACTGTAAAAAATCAGATATTTTTATTGCTATTTTGAAGATGGAATTTATATCTCTATGTAGTTGGAACATTTTCTCTCTCAAAGCATCCCTGTGTATTTCTGGGCACTTTTAAAGTAACTGTATCAACAAATGTTTGGCATCTTCCTATAATACCATATGAAAGTAAAAAGAACTCAAATAAGATGCACGAATATGACAACAATATGTTTGTGACATGTTCTTTAAAAGCCAAACAATTAATTTTAAATGGCATGTGTTATGTCACTACTCAAACTGTGAATTTTCATATTCTTTATCTCTATGAATATAGACACCTTTGTGTAAGTTTAGGATGAATATCTGTCCCTACTTATGTGCTCACTTTCCCATTCTACTCACCAAGTCTAACCTCTGTTGGTTCCCCAAACACACCCTCTATTCCACTAATTTCATGCTTGACATCTTAATTAAGCTTGTTAATAAACTTCACTCTGCACTCAGCCTCTCCTTCTTGCTGTTTGATTTTTACCAATTAATTCCTGATATCATACCATTTGCTTCAGTAAATACCACTCCATATATGGAATTTTTCTATGTCAATTGCAAGTCTACTTATGGATACATGTAATTATAATGCATTTGTGAGATAATAATTTGCAATGGAAATCCATAAATTTTATAGGAAAACAATGCATATATTTTCGCTATTTTTTGCACATTTCCTCTAGTGTCAACTTATTTTACATTTCACTAGAATCTAATTTGGCAGCATATTCCACATAATACAATTGTAATATTTATGTAGAAATTGAGTGATCTTAATCCAAGACTGACTACTATATATAGTATACACACACAGCAAATATATTTATATACCACATATATACTTATCTATTTAATATATGGTATATACTATATATATTTATATATATGTGTGTGTATGTATCCTTAGGACCTATAAAAATGGGTTTAGAAAGATGAGGCTTTTTTACTTTTATCTTTAATCATGAAAATTTGCAATCCCATTAGTATACCTTAAAAAGTATCAAATTATCTTGAAAATTATAAATATGAACTATTGAGATAGGTATTTGAGATTCATGAAGCTTCAACAATAAGCAATGTGTTCTAATACCAAGGAATTATGATATGATTTTCTCAAATTTGTGGTCATTTTATTAAAGTTACTAATATTCTATTATATATTATATCCCAGACATGTTATACTTTCAGACAAAATAAAGATGTAAAATATCTTAAATATCAAAACAGTGTTAAAAATATCAGAAAATCAGTAAATAAATAACAGTATAGTAATAAAACCTCAAAACTGAACTTAATTATTCAAGATCATTTAGGACAATAGATAGTGTAGAGTAAAGGTAAATTTTTCTTTCTTCTACATCCATATTGAAGACACAGAAGATACAAGGTTTTACATTTTCCAAATACTACACATATGCTTAGAAGAATAAAAATATATCTACACAGAAGTATGTCCCTTTGTATACATTTCTCAAAATGTATTGTTTCCTTTGTATAAGATAAAGCTTTATATTAAAATATCTGGATAATTAATCATAGTTATATTTATCAGATTTTATCTAGTTAGTGTTGTAACTGAAATGTAAAGGGTTATGACATGGCTAAGACATGGCCAATGAATATTTATTAACTTAAAAAAGCTTTTATTTCAGAAGTCTCTATAATGTCTATAAGGCTTGCATATCTTACAATAGAGCCAGTTACTTTTTGTAGCTGACATCATCAATTAAAACGTTAACCGAAAGTTTAAAAAATAAGTTTTGTAAAGAAAAAGTAAAACTAGTATTTTCGCTATTTTATCTCTTCTCTGAAAAATAATTCAACATAATTACACATTTGTATAATATTGTGTATATATGGCACATATACATATTTGTGTCTATGTATGTATACATACACATACAAAAACCTTCATAGTGTATGATAGTACAAGGCAGTAAGCCCAAATGTTAAGGTGACTTCCAGTGAGAAAATTAGAGGTGAGTCTCCCCTTTTAACAAGTAAACCTCCTGTATAACTTGTTGAATACTGACGCATCTCCCCCTGCTCTGTGTGATGTCTAACTGCATGAAGTTGTAGAATTTTGAACCTGGTTGCTTATAGAAAATTAATTCTACAATTTTTATTATATTTGAAAAAATACTTATATGTGGCACCCTTTCTCTAAATGAAAGCTTACATTGAAATTCAGTACGTAAAAGAAATAAATTTGTAGTGCCAGGGTTCAGAGAGAGTAGGAGGGATAGGAGATATACAAAGGACATGTGAATATCATGTAGGTGGTGTAGATTTAGTGTATTCACATCCAGTCTGGCTGCCCCTCAATGCCTTGTGCGTGGCAAGTGCCCAAATGCCAGCTCCCTTGTAGGGCCAGGTATGAGTTATTTCAGGGCAAACTGTAAATAGCTTCCTCACAGCACTACCACTTAATGTGGAAATTCATTCTAGCTCAAATTCTTTTCCCTTTCCCAGATCCTGCGTTTGGCAGCCCAACACACAATCTATTGTTGTTTGGTGCTCTTGGGCAGCCTACCAGCAAGACATCTCATGCCCAGCTAGTTTTCATTGCCACTTAACCCGTGGGGGACTAACAATCCTTCCCGTGCCAAATCATGGGCATGCAGACGGCTTCATGCTGCCACTTCTCTCTGCCCTGCTGGCTCTCTCCCACCCTCTTTAACCTTTAGTCACGGAGACAAAATAAATAGGTCACAGATTATGGAACAAGCACATAGCCAAAGGGAAGTGAAGTATTTATCCCTCTTAGTTTTAGACATCTCCATTTCATTGAATATTTTTGAGACATACTGAGTTGTATTTTTAGGGAAGAATAAGTCCTCCTCTTTTAATGTAGGAGGAAAAAGTTGTGGTTTTCCCCTCATGAATCCAGTGATCATCCTTCCTGTTTTTCTAGTTGTGTTCACTAGGGAGAGGGAGTCTGGGGCATTGACTGGGTTTTGTAAAAATGATTCTGTTGTTAAGTTTTTAAGGAATGTCTTCTCCCTAAATTTGGGCACTTGATACCATTTATTCCCCTTGTTTCAGTATTTGACACTTTATAATTCAATATATTCAGAAAATACTTTTGAGAAAACTATATTTTTACGTTTTTGAAGACAATTTTTTTTCCTAATAGACAATACTCATAGAAATGCATATGCTTACTTCATTTTTGATTGAACCAAATGAGGACTTTCAGAAAGAAGGTGGCTTTTTTTCCTAGGAATGAGCCCAGTATTTGTTGTATAGTGTGGGGTGCATGCCTCGTGTGTGTGTGTGTGTGTGTGTGTGTGTGTGTGTGTGTGTGTGTGTATTTCAAGAATTGGGTGTCTGTTTAGTTTAAGACTATATTTAATTTGAAGATTACTCTGGGAAGCAAGCACTAATTTCCATGTCTGTAGAGAAATAAAACATAGTAAAACATAATCACTGATGGCTTTTTAAAAATAATGCTTCAAGTTTTATGTACATTTTACAAAATGTTATGGCTGTTCTGCTACCTACATAGGTATTAAGGTACATTTTACTTTTCAAATAAATTTACGTACCCTCCTATGCAATGCATGAAACAGCTATGGATGCTCTATCATCATTTTGCATCACTATACAGTCACTTTTTGACCAACTACTCTTAAATAACTGAGAATACAGACATCACTCTATATACCCTGCAAAGCTTAACAAGGCTAGTTCTTTAAGATAAGGCTATTCCATAAGTCATATTCTAAATACCTTTTACTATTGTGGAGAATTTGCCATATTATACAACTGTATAGCATAAAAGCCTACTTTTATCATAGAACAATGAGATATCACAGCAAAACAAAGAACATTTTATGAAGAAATTTATGTGGCAAAAATGGAGTTATAGTCACCTAAAATATTGATGACTGTCAGGCAAAAGAAACAAATCACTATTTCTTTTAAATGACTCTTGCAGCCCCAAATAAAGAAGTAATATAAACTGAAGCAGGACTGGGTGCTCAATATGAATAACTATAATATCAGCAAAACAAAACACATTTAGAGGGACCAGTCAGTACACAGAAGGATTTTATATAAAAACTCATAATTTTAACATTTCTTTTGTTAGAATGAATGTCAAAATATACTGAGACTATGTGTTAGAAAATTTAAGGATAAAGAGAATTCTCATTGGCATTCATGTGAAAAAGGGACCTTTTTCACAAACAGGATGTACAGTACCTAACTAGTAATTTTCAGTCCTCTGCTTTCTATTTTTGCCAACATCTATATAGAAATAAAAGCCACCTTCCCTACAAACCTCCCTTTCCTTTCACACTCAGCCAGAAGCAAAGCATAATAAAACAGCCACCTCACTGGTTGACTGTGGTCAACTACAAAACCAAAAATATTCAATTAAAGTGTCATTTTAAAACTGTAGGAAAATTTCAAGAATATGGAGCTTATTTAGTACGTGGTTTATTTACTTATTATTTATATAAAATTACTTCATTTGGTTTATGTAGTTTGATTATATAGAACAACTAGGGTTTGATTCCATTACTGAGATTTTAATGAGCTTAGCCTCATTATTTTCTTAGTAGTCAAAATAAAAATAGATTTTTTTTCACCCTTAAAAGGCTTTGTGGCTGAATCTGTTTGAATATCAACTATTTCCCTTTAAAAATGAGGAACAGAGGGTTATTGCTGATAGAACTTCATGTATTTGGATCACAATCCGACACTCCCCTATGGTACATCTTCATAGGAATTGGACCACCTGAATTACTCTATTACCATTATATTAGTATTATTAGTCCATTCTCTGTTTGCTATAAAGAAATACATGAGACTGGCTAATTTATAAGGAAAGAGGTTTAATTTACTCACCATTCTGCAGGTTGTACAGGAAACATGGTGGCATCAGCTTCTAGGGAGGCCTCACAGAACTTAAAATCATGGTGGAAGGTGAACAGGGAGTGAGGCACTTCACATGGCTGTAACAGGAGGAAGAGAGAGATGAGGGAGATGTTACAAAGTTTTAAACAACAGGATATCATGAGAACTCAGTATACGGTACTAAGGGGGATGGTGCTAAACCATTCATGAGAACTCTATGATCCATTCACCTCCCATCAGGCCTGTATCAGTCGTTTTCATGCTGCTAATAAAGACATACCCAAGACTGGGCAATTTACAAGAGAAGGAGGTTTAATTGGACTTACAGTTCCACATGGCTGGGGAAGCCTCACAGTCATGGCCAAATGCAAGGAGGAGCAAGTCACATCTTACATGGATGGCAGCAGGCAAAAGGGAATTCTTCTTTTTAAAACCATCAGATTTCATGACACTTATTTGCTGTCAGAGTAACAGCACAGAAAAGACTTGCCTTATGATTCAATTACCTCCCACCAGATCCCTCCCACAACACATGGGAATTCCAATGAGATTTGGGTAGGGGCACAGCTAAACCACATCATTCTGCCCCTGAAACCTCCCAAATGTCATGTCCTCACATTTCAAAACTAATCATGCCTTTCCAACAGTCGCCCAAAATCTTAACTCATTTCAGCATTAACTCAAAAGTCCACAGTCCAAAGTCTCATTCAAGACAAGGCAAGTCCCTTCCTCCTATGAGCCTGTAAAATCAAAACCATTTACTTCCTAGATACAATGGAGGTACAGGCATTGGGTAAAAACAGCTATTTCAAGTGGGAGGATCTTGCCAAAACAAAAGGGTTACAGGCACCATGGAAGTCCAAAATCCAGTGGGCCAGTTAAATCTTAAAGCTCCAAAATGATCTCCTTTGACTCCATGTCTCACATCCAGGTCACTCTGATGAAAGAAGTGGGTATCACCCCTGTGGCTTTTCAGGGTACAGCCTCTCACTTGGCTGCTTTCACAGGCTGGCGTTGAATGTCTACGGCTTTTTCAGGTGCACAGTGCAAACTGTCAGTGGATCTACCATGCTGGGGTCTGGAGGATGGTGGCCTTCTTCTCACAGCTCCACCAGGCAGTGCCCCATTAGAGACTGTGTGTAGGGGCTCCTTCCCACATTTCCCTTCTGGTCTGCCCTAGCAGAGTTTCTCCATGAGAGCCCCAACCCTGCCAAAGACTTCTGCCTGGACATTCAGGCATTTCCATACATCCTCTGAAATCTAGGCAGAGATTCACAAATCTTAATTCTTGACTTCTGTGTACCCGCAGGCTCAACACCACATGGAAACTGCCAAGGCTTGAGACTTGCAGCATCTGAAGCCACGGCCCAAGCTCTACATTGGCCCCTTTCATCCATGGCTGGAGTGGCTGCAACCTACGGCACCAAGCCCCTAAGCTGCAGACAGCATGGGCACCCTGGGCTTGGCCCAGGAAACCACTTTTTCCTCCTAGGCCTCTGGGCCTGTGATCAGAGGGGCTGCTGTGAAGACCTCTGACATGCCCTGGAGCCATTTTCCCCATTGTCTTGGGGATTAATATTTGACTCCTTATTAATTATGCAGATTTCTGCAGGCTTGCATTTCTCCTCAGAAAATTGATTTTTCTTTTCTATCGCATTGTCAGGCTGCAAATTTTCTGAACTTTTATACTCTGCTTTCCTAATAAAACTGAATGCCTTTAACAGCACCCAAGTTACATTTTGAATGCTTTGCTGCTTAGAAATTTCTTCCACCAAATACGCTAAATCATCTCTCTCTAGTTCAAAGTTCCACAAATCTCTAGGGCAAGGGTAAAATGTCACCAGTCTCTTTGCTAAACATAACAAGAGTCACCTTTGCTCCAGTTCCCAACAAGTTCCTCATCAACTTCTGAGACCACCTGGCCTGGACCTTATTATTTATATCAGTATCAGGCTTTTGGTCAAAGTCATTCAACAAGTCTCTAGGAAGTTCCAAACTTTCCCACATTTTCCTGCCCTCTTCTAGGCCTCCAAACTGTTCCAACTTCTGCCTATTACCCAGTTCCAAAGTCACTTCCACATTTTTGGGTATCTTTTCAGCAGCACCTGACTCTACTGGTACCAATTGACTGTATCAGTTCATTTTCACACTGTTGATAAAGACATACCCAAGACTGGGTAATTTACAAAGAAAGAGGTTTAATTGGACTTACAGTTCCACATGGCTGGGAAGCCTCATGAGCATGGCAGAAGGCCAGGAGGAGCAAGCCACATATTACATGAATGACAGTAGGCAGAGAGGAGCTTGTGCAGGGGAATTCCTCCTTTTAAAACCATCAGACCTTGTGAGACTTATTCACTGTCATGATATCAGCACAGGAAAGACTTGCCCCATGATTCAATTACCTCCCACCAGGTCCCTCCCACAACACATGGGAATTCAAGATGAGACTTGGGTGGGGACACAGCCAAACCATATCAATGCCCCACATCCAACACTGGGGATTGCAATTGATCATGAGATTTGGCTGGGAACACAGATCCAAACCATACCACCAACGAAAAAACAAGTATAAAGGAAATAAAGAAAATTTTTCCATTTTATAATTCTTTATTTAATTATGATTAAATTCAATTAGTCAACCAATTTATAATACTATATTGTAGACCAAATATAAATGAGAAGAATCTCCAATGATGCCTGGCCTTGGATGAGTCATTTAGACACTTCGGAGATTAGGTGTTTTTTTTCTGAAATATAAGTGTATAATAATGTATAGCTTATACAGCTGTTTTCAGAATAAAACAATGTCATATAATTTGAAAACTTTTATAATTCAATATACAGATATTAGTATTTTATGCAAAACATTATGCTAGGCAGTTCATTGATATAACAATGGGTTTTACTTAAGACTGGTACTCTGCAGCTCCCTCAACTTATCACATTTCATATACTTTTTCTTGGTGAGAATTAAGATACTTATAAATGAAAATATTGAATCCTAATATATCATAAAGAATATCCTGATATGCTTGCAAGACTGGCATGCCTTCTGTCCACCAATCTTTTATATCTTACAGTCTTGAAAATATTTGATTACCTAAGTTATTTTACATCTTAATTAAAAACATTAGATTGTTGATTTATTGCCCTAGTCATAGCATCTGAGTATTTTTTCAGGATAACTGATAATAGCCTCCCTTGTACTGGTTTTTTGATAAAAATAGTAAAGTCAGGAACATCAATACAAAGATCACAATACTGATAAGCCAAATTGTCTGTGTAACTATATCAATGGTAACATACATCTTGTTGGGAGCATTAGAAATGTTTAAATCACTTTTGATAAGCCTCTTGAGCCAGGGATAAGATTTTGACAGATGGAAATTGGAGTAGGCTTGGAGCAGAAGATGTGTCTCAGAGAGAAAACAGTTTGTAAGAGTACTGTTAGGTGAAAGCAACCAGCATCCTGATTTTGTTCATATATACATATATGGATAATGTAGAGCAGTGATTTGACTTCAAAGATCAACTTTGTACCTTCTTTAGTAGACATTAGGGAATAATCACATGTTCTCAGCAGGGAAATATTAAGAAGAAAATTCTGGCAACATTATTAGAAGTGTTTTTAAAGTGTGAGCTAGAAGTGAAGACTTTAGAAAGTAGTGATTTATTTCTGTGCTGGCAGGGTTAGGGATGCTGATCAATACCTGATGTCAGAAAACTGCAAATGAGTTCAGAGCCTTTTTGAAGACTTCAGAAGTTGTAGAATTCCAGATGACTGGTTCTAGAAAAGGCTGGACCAGAACCTTGTAGAGTATTTTGTGCTTCATCCATAAAGCAATAGAAAGCCACTGAAGGGGCCGGGCACGGTGGCTCATGCCTGTAATCCCAGCACTTTGGGAGGCTGAGGCAGGTGGGTCACCTGAGGTCAGGAGTTCGAGACCAGCCTGAGCAACATGGTGAAACCCCTGTCTCTACCAAAAATACCAAAAATTAGCTGGGCGTAGTAGTGGGCACCTGTAACCCCAGCTACTCAGGAGGCTGAGGCAGGAGAATAGCTTGAACCCAGGAGGTGGAGGTTGCAGTGAGCTGAGATCACGCCACTACACTCCAGCCTGGTGATAGAGCGAGACTCCATCTCAAAAAAAAAAAAAAAGAAAAAAAAAGAAAGCCACTGACAATTTTAAGGCGTGAGTATGAGGCAGCATTAAGTCAGGAAACTAGAAAACAGTCTATGTCAAACAAAAACTATTTTATACAGGGAAGTAATCACTAACAAATCTGTTTGGAAGAACTAAAAGAGCAAACTCCAGAAAGGGCCATCATTATCTTTCAGGTGCCCTTCTCAGTCTGTGCTACAGAGGTTTTAAAAAAAAGCTGCTATAAAACATAAAGGTTGGTAAAGTTGAGAAAGCCACCACAATTGTCATCTCTACTCTATGGCCCTCGAAGAGGGAAATAAAGTCAGGTTAATCACTGTAAAATTTCATGCATGCTCAAGTCCATTTGTCCATTGCCTCTGCTATTAAAGAATATATTCTACTGCTCTGCTTCTCTTGTCCTGTAAGACTGTATCATATGGGTAGAATCTAAGTAATTTCTGAACCGTTTTGGCAAAGTCATCTAGGAAATGCAGTCTCCATTTTTCATGCCCTGGATAGGTGTGAAAATGGGCAACAGCCAATAGAACTGAAGAAGGATTGTCATGATAATATTTATGTTTTAAAATGTTCACTCCGGTTGACTTGTGAAAAAGAAAAAGACAATAAAAAAATAAATATCAGTCTGGATGATAAGTAAAGTAAGATGAATAAGATAATTGAACTATAATGTTAGTGTTGGAGATGGAAAAAACTTGAAGGTCAGCGGATATTTAAAACATATAATAAGCAGATTTTAAATCGGATTGTTTTTCATGCTATAATTTTATGAACTGTAGAACTCTACAGGTTTCTGTGGATTCTCCATTATCCTACTTTATTTCTCAATTAAGCTTGACTAAAAGGGAATATTTTGCAATAATAAATATTCTGTAAATTATCAAAGAAGGCAAATAATTTCTTTTGCAGTTTTATTACTCAGTGATATTTTAATATTGCAGTCTAATTAAAACCCAAGTCACACAGAAATGCCATATGATTAAAAATCTTATTAGCTTTATAGAGCATAAATACTTGCAACTAATGCCAGAGTTGCAGAATTCTATTTAGCACTTTAGGCTTAGATTATCTGACTGCCACCAAATAAAAATAGAGAATTATCTGTTTATATTTTAATTTTGCAAATAATCTATATACTAGCTCCTAGAAGTTCATCTTTGTGAAGTAATGACAAAAGAGTATTGTCGTATGGGAATTTTATTATTAAAACATTCAATGTACCTTTCAACATGCATTGACCTTTGAAAAGTTACATGTGCATTGGAATTTGAAGCCTCTGTAAATGGCTTACAATACGTGACTATATGTGAAAATGTATCTAGTCACCTTCTACTCACCATTTTAATTATACATAATTAAATCTAGACTATATTATATATAATTAATATAATATTAATTTATTCTATATGCATATTGATATATACAGAATCAATAATAATTATATATATGATTATATACAACAAAATTTAAAATAAAAGATTGAAAACTGAAACATCCTTCTAATTTTAGAGGACTGAAATTTCATTCTACAGCCTTTTGAAGTCCCAGGCTGGTACTTTTTCTTCACTTACATTTCACTTTTTTTCTTATAGTTCAATACCAGAGAGATCTCGTGATGAAAAATATTCATTGTGATAAGGTCTAAGACAAGATGAAATGTGTAACCTCCAAATGAATTCCTTATGCATTACTATCAAAATTCCAATAAACCAAATCTTATTTCTTTATTAAAATACTCTTAGATATGATAGTAAAAATAGAACTCAACTCATTTCATTAAACATAAAGGCTCTTAAGAGTAGAAAGATCTTTAGTAAGGTTTGAAAAGGGGACATGGTGGAATTGATGGGGCAACTTAATAAGCAAAAACAAATATAATCTACTTCACAATTTTTTTAGTGCCATGGGGACATCACAAGGTATAGTGGCATGCCATGACTCTTCAAGGGTATTTTTAGCTGAAAAAAGTTTGAATCAGTGTACAGAATTAACAGTAGTTGGTAGTTTTTTGTGACTATGTGACAGGCAGGCCTTAACAGACTAGATTTATGAACTAAACACAAACAATGAGTGACATAAGTAACAAACTCCAAAACATCAGTGGTTTAACACTTGACAGGCTTTTTTCTCATTCGTGCTACACTTACAATTCAGGTCAAGCTACTCCCCAGGCTCCTTCTCCAAGTGTACCATCAATCCAGTTTTGTTTTGCTTTTTTCCATCCCATGGCTTAACCATCTCATCATTTGACTGCGCAATCACTGCTTCAAAGGAAGAGAGAATGTGGAGAACACTCAGCTGCTCTATGATAACCCCTAAAGGATACATCGGACCTCCCTTCACAGTTCATTGACCGGAACTACTCATATCAATACCAGATAACCTCATGATAGGCTAGAAAATGCAGTATTTCTGTGTTCCCAGGAAGAAGAAAATAAAAAATGATTTGTTTAAAGCAAAACAGGAGCCAGTTACATGTGATAGGAGGAAACCTGACTGTACAGAAGGAGCATGATATGCAGAATGTATGATGTCAGAAAATAGGTAATAAGCAATTTCACCCATCAGTGATAGAGTCTGTCTTGGAAGATAATTGAAGAATAGTTATAGGTAGGCTGAAGGTACTCTGTATAAAAGGATGCAGGCTGACCCAGCAGCAGGTGCTACATCTCTAACGATGGAAGTTAAATTACCAGGCAGGACTTAAATCACTGTGGAGAACTGAAATGAAAGAGGCACTCCCCAGTCTCTGTGGGGCAAGAATAAAATATGTATTCCTGAATTTGGTCTGGAATATATATTTGACACTTGGTATCTGGATCAAGGATTAAACCTAGTTATTGGAATTTAAAACAAGACACAGAAAGCTTGACTCAACCATTGATCAGTTTGTTTTAAAACATGTCAGACAGAAGCACACTGAGGGCACCTTAATTAAAAAAAAAATTCCCATGACAAGATCTCATGGCAATGCAAAAACAAAATTTTTAAATGTGACTACAGCATAGCCAGGACTCATCATGACTGGACTGTAACACAGCAACTGTAAGGATGTCTAGAACATGAAACAATTTTAGGCCCCAGTTTACCATTGTGATCCCCCAACACCTCCGCTACCTGTGACCACTTTTGCATATTTTAATGTTTCAACATTCAACACTATAACTCAGCTACATTGTATTGCTCTTTCAACTCTTTTTCTTTCTATTCAGCGTTCAAAATCCCAAAGAGACTTCAGCTTCGCTTAGTGTGAGAACAGATGATATTTTGTTCATTTTAGAACACTTACAAAAGATAGAACAAAATGATCACAATTACCATGCTCACATTTGTGGAAACAATTCTGCAAGCTACTCTTGCCTTCATATAGAAACAGTTGTTCTGAAGTCTGCACTCTGGCATAGTTCATTTTCTTGGCTCTACCACTCAGAATAAAAAAAAATAAAATCACATAGATTTGAAAATAACATAGGTAAATATAAAGATGATATAAGTGTTTGTGTGTGAGAGTGTGTGTGTGTGATTTATGAAATCTATATGCTCCAGGCATCACCAAACCATGAATAAAAATTATGATTTTAACACTATTAGAGCATATGCCTTCACCCATGTGTCAGCAAATATCTTAACTCAAAAAACCCTCCAGTAATTTGGGGAAGAGCCTCAGAATACTTCCACACATATATTCTAAATATGTCCTCAAGCATCTCTACTTTGCCATTCTTGTCTTTCCACTTTGCTGCTTTTCTCTGCCAAGGGCTTTTTGGGGATCACTCACTACACAGGTCTCAGCAGTCCTCTATGTATGGCTGGCCCCCATTCCACTAACTGACCTCTGCACAAAGAAACTTCTTTCCTCTTTGTGGATTTGTGTGAAGAATGGTTCAGACTATCTTAGTTTCTCAGGGTTCAATTGAGGCCAGACTTATTGAGGCTTTCACCCTTTTTGAATATACAGTTCTGTGAATTTTTACAAACTCATACAGTTATGTAACCACCACAACAACAAGATACAGAGAAATTCACTCACTCTCCCCGAAATTCTCTAGTGTTCCTTTACGATCAGCTCAATTATCCAACATCCTGGCTCAGGTTACAATTGATATTGTTTTCTGCCCTAACAGTTTGCCTTTCCAAAATGTCACATAAATGAAGTTATACAGTTTATAGGCTTTGAATTTGGGATAGTTCACTTAATATAATTCATTTAAAAATTGAATAATTTTTTCATTGTGTTTTATTGCTCACTCATATTCCATTTAATGGCTATTCCACAACTGGTTTATCTATTTACTAGTTGATGAACATTTGAGTTGTTTATAGTTTGAGATAGTTATTAATAAAACTGCTATAAACATCCTCGTAAAGGTTATTTTGTGGATGTACATTTTCATTTATCTTGAGTAAACCCTCCAAGTAGGATTGCTGAATCAAAAGGTGAGAGTATGTTTAACTGTACAAGAAACTGCTCAACGGTTTCCAAAGTGGCTGTGCCATTTTGCATTCTCACAAACAGTGACTAAGAATTCGACTTGCTTCGCATCCTCATCAGTACATGGTGTTATCTATTGTTTTGGGGCTGGGGTGGGGGACGGGTTGTGCGTGTGTAGTTTAGTTTGCATTTCTCTAATGACTAATTATTTTGAGCAGCTTTCATTTACTTATTTATCATCCACAAATAAGATATCCCCTAATTTACTGCAGCTGTAAATCTTGAAATCAGGTAGCGTGCAGTCTCCAGATTTGTTCTTCTTTTCCAACTTGTTTTGGCTATTCTAATATTTGTGCTATTCCATATAAATTTATAATTAATCTTGTCAAAAACTGATGGATTTTCATTTGTTTAGGTCTTTTTTGATTACTCTCATCAGTATTTTGTATTCATCAGTATATAAAGCTAATCAGTATATAAAATACAAATCATAAATGGCTTTTCCATTGCTAGACTATAGAAATACAGTTATTTATTTTACCTTCTTATTTGAAATAACTATAGACCCACAGGAACTTGCAAAACTAGTTTTTAATTATAATGAAGTCAAAATTGTTTTATCAATTTATTTTTCTTTCATGGATCATGAATTTGGTGTCATGTCTAATAACTCATTAACTAACCATGCATCGAGAAGATTTTCTCTTATGTTCTCTTTTATACGTTTTATAGTTTTACATTTAGATCTATGATCTACATTGAGTCACTATTGGTATAAGGTATAAGGTATGTGTCAAGATTTCTCTTTGATTATTGATGTCCAGTTGCTCCAGACCATTTGTTGAAGAGACATTTTTTCTTTACTGAATTGTATTTGCATTTCTATCAAAAATCAGTTGAATATATTTGTTTAGCTCTATTCCTTGGTTCTCTATTCTTTTTCATTGATTTATATGTGTACCCCATTTCTAGCCTTCCACTGACTTAATTATGGTAATGATAATATCTTAAAATTATGTAGTGTAAGTACTCCAAATTTATTCTTCCTTTAAAATACTTTTCTAGCTATTCTATGTACTTCCTTATACACATTTTAATACAGGCTTTTATATATCCTCAGAAAATTCTGTTGGGATTTTGATAGGAATTGCGTTGCATAATTGATTGTTGTATATTGACATTTGTCTTACAACTCTTGTTTTTACTCCTCCGCATGTTATTTATCTTTTATCTCTATCTGCTTTCAAGATTTTTTTTATCCTTAGTAATCACTATTTTGACTATAATGTGTATATGTATTTTTATTTGTTTTCATTTGTGCCTATCTTTCTAGGGTGTCCTCTGGCTTTTTGGATATGTAGTTTGACGGCTTTTATTAGTTTTGGAAAATGTTCAGTTGTTATCTCTTTAAATACTTCTTCACTGGATTCTTCCTCACTTCTTCTTTTGGGATAATAACTACTCAAATGCCAGACAGTTTGATATTTTCCTCCATATCAGGAATGCTCAGTTCTTGTTCTGTATTCCTTTTGTATTTCAATTTGCCTAAATTAAACAGAAGTAATTTTTCTTTTGTTGTGTCTGCTCTATTGTTGAGCCCCCAAAACGGAACTATTCATCTCTAATACTCGGTTTTTTACTTATTGAATTTCTATTTGACATTTTCTTGTGGTTCCTATCTCTATTTCAATCCCCCATCTGTGCATGCATGTTATCTGTTTTCCACTAGACTCTTTAACATATTAATTATGGTTTTAAAAACTGTTTTACTGATAATTGCAACATATGGGTCATCTGAGTTGGTTCTCTTGACTGTTTTTATTCCTAATAATAGAATTTTCTTTCCTTTCCATTTTTCCTCATAAATTTTGATTGAATACTAAATATCATGTATATAACAGTAAAGACTGATACAAATAATATGCATGCTGAAAAATGGGCACGATTTTATTCTGTCAGGCTATGAGTGAAGAAGTCAGTGTTGTCAGAGATGAAACTGTATTTAAGTTTTGTTGTTGCTATGGTCGCCAGTAGTGCACAAATGCTTCAAATCCTTCTATAATTGCCTTGCCCTTAAGGATGGGCCTGGTGTGCTGGTTTGTGTGTGTGTGTTTGTGTGTGTGTGTGTTTGTGTGTGTGTGCATGTGTGTATTTCAATAGCCCTGATTCACTGTCAGTTTCCCTGCACTGACAGTTTCCTTGCATTTCTCAGCCATCTCTGCACACCTGTGCTACAAAGGAAGTTGCTCATCCCACAATTGCACTGTCCCCAGTTGTAGACTGCTATTACTTGTTGCTTCAATCTCACTAGGCTTGTGGTGGAGGGCTTTCTGTTATCTTGGTCTTGTGCCAGTCTTAGGCAAGCCCTGTGTGCCTGGGCTTTGTATGTGAGAATTTCTCAAGGTGCCTGCCTCTCTTCCTCATGGCCAACAAATTGTGTTGTATCTGTGGTGTGTCTTATGTGGGCGAGAGATTCCTGCTTCATTTCCAATAGTAAGAGCCCTACAATGTTAATGGTGTAGGCATATGGTCTCAGGACTCTCCCTCTCTGAAGGGTATTGGGTTTGGCTGCTTCTGCTTTTCCCCGCAAAATAGCTCTTCACCTTTACCTGGAGCGCTGGATATCCCACATCAAGTGACTTGAGGCTTTAGGCAGGGGCAGGGCTTTATGCCTGCAGAAGTATTTAGGAATATGTTGAGATTTTGGAAAGCTGTGAGTTGCCGTAAGTAGTAATGGTGGGGATGTCTTGTGAGCTGCGGGAGAGGGCTGGAACAAAGGAAAATTAGCAGCTTATAGTAATACTCCTAATATGTGGCCCAGTGACCCTAGACCCTGTAGAAAGAAGAAACCATTTTCCCTTTAAGGGGAAACCTCTTTCTTCATAGTATCACTGACAGTAGGACCATCAACATCTGAAGAAGTGTCCTATTTTATCCACAAGGATGTCATCTGCTCCAGTGAGGAAAATTGTAATACTACTACTAAAAGACATTTCCCAACATCCTGTTGATTTATTTTTAACTCAGGAACCATTGTGTAAACCTAAACTATGTTTTCTTGTTTAATGCCCAAGGATCTGGTTCTTTTTACAAACTTTTTTCCATGTTGAGGTAAAGAGAAGTCAGAGCCTGCATGTGCATCTGACTGTAGTCCAGTATAAACCATTATTCTCTTACGAACTAGAGCTGAGACAATAGCTGAACACGACACACACACTCACACACACACACACACACACACCCCTATGCTACCACAAGCAAACACTCACAGATCTACATGACACCCACTCAAGTCAAAAATTTAACAAGTTTTAGGTTACAGATACACAAGTGAACATTAAAATTAGACAAAAAACTAACTTCTAGGGACACAGTTTTGATTAAATATTTATATATTTTATTTTTGTAAGAAAGAATCTTGGTGAGAACTTTCTTGGCTGCATTCTGTCAACTTAACTTTCCTGGCTTACAGTTATATAATTTAAGGAGCTCACTAAAGCAGCTTTACCATTCCTCCTTCTCATCCCCTGGTAAAAATAGTCCTCTGCCTCAAAGGTAAATCTGAGTTTCCAAATTAAAGGGGAAATTACAGTTTAAAAAAAAAATCTTTAAATCCTTCCTTCAAAGGGAACTGCATTGCATTTCTGGCAACATTAAAATTCAAATCATTTATTTTGATCTTCTATTTATATGAGGAAACAGTATTTGGAAAGTTTTTAGACTACAGTGAAAAAAAAAAGAGTTCTATGGAGACTATTTCTCTCCAAAATTACATTTTGTTTGGCACGTCTGATTTGCAATCTCTTTGTGTAACCACCTTTTTCCATTTTCTCACATTGACACATCTAAAAATCAAGCCATAACTCTGTTCTCACACCTTCATCACAAATTAGAGCTAAGACATTCTGTCATAGTGGGAATTCCCATAACAAGATGAACTTTGGCATTTCACAGACTGAAGAGAGGACACTTTCAAAATCTTGTGTGAAGATGTTATAAAATATATTTCTTTGGAAGCAGAAAAGCAGGAAAATTTGGATTCTAGCATTATACATATATGTTTACTTTAGAAATCAGTTATGAACTAATTTTTAAATGACTTTCATAAAATAATGATATATCTGTAAACATGAGGTTATGGGAAAATGCTGTCACACATAATTTGTATATTTATGGCAAATTTCAATCTTTCAAAAATACAGAAAATAGTATATCAGATCCTTTGTACTTGCATGGAGATTTTAAATGTATTAATATTTTTCAGTGTTTGCTTCACACCATTTTCTTCTTATTAAAAAAAATTACAATAGTATAGTGCCAGGATAACCTTTCTCCTAACCTCTAGGTAAATACCATCCTAAAGTTGATGTGTAGGAATCCTATATGTTTTGGTATCTTTACTATGTATGTAGATATGAACAAAAATGTACATACTATTAGTCTTCAGGTTTAAATTTTATGTTAATGGCAACATACAGTTTCTATCACATTGTAATTTTTTTAGATTGAACATAATATTTTTAAGTTACATACATGTTGATACGGTAAAGTGGGTTTTTTAAAGTTAACTGCAGCAAAATATTGCAAATATGAACAAAATAGTTTACTCATTTGTCTACTAAGGGAAATTTATATTTATTCTTTTTTATTGTTACAATCTCTGCTAAGAAAAATGGTTTTCTTAAGTGTCTCAAGCATAGAAGGGTGTCTCAAAGGTAAATATTTTGAAGTAAAATTGCTAGGATATGCACAAGTGTATTAAACATTATTAAAATGTTATTAAATGTATTAAAATATATTTTTATCCAAAATATGTGTACCAATTTACATTCTAACCAGCTATGTCCAAGGGTTTTTACTTCTTCACACTTATGTCAGTGTTTGGTGAATCCAGACATTAATTTTTCCAGTCTGAGGACTGAAAAATGGTGCCTTATTGCTGTTTTAATTAATTTAATTACTAGTGAGAATGAGCATGTTTTCATATATCTGTTGTTCATTTGGTGAATTGCCTGCCTGTAATCTTTGTCCTTTTTAAAAGTTGGTATGCTTATCTATTTATTATTCATTTAAAGATACTTTTATATTCTGGATACTAATCTTTAGTTGGTTATATTGTTGCAAAATGATATGACTGGTATGCTGCCATTAATATGAAATCTAATAATGCAAAACAATAGCACACACACATATACACATGTATGTATGTGGTAATCGTACAGTTATATGAAATTTATTTAGATGCTAACTTCAGAGATTATCTAGTGGTTGGGAAGAAAGTTGTGCTGACTACTATATTGTTATAATTTACTTTCTTAAAAATGAAAGAGAGGTAAGCCGGGTGCAGTGGCTCATACCTGTAACTCCAGCACTTTGGGAGGCCAAGGTGGGCTGATCGCCTGAGGTCTGGAGTTCGAGACCAGCCTGACCAACATGGTGAAACCCCGTCTCTACTAAAAATACAAAAACAAAACAAAACAAAACAAAACAAGCCAGGTGTGGTGGTGCATGCCTGTAATCTCAGCTACTTGGGAGGCTGAGGTAGGAGAATCGCTTGAACATGGGAGGCGGAGGTTGCGATGAGCTGAGATCGCACCATTGCACTCCAACCTGGGCAACAAGAGTGAAACTCCCTCTCAAAAAAAAAAAAAAAAAAAAGAAAGAAAGAGATGGAGCCAAGATGGCCAAATAGGAGCAGCTCCAGTCTACTGCACCCAGTGTGAATGACGCAGAAGACAAATGATTTCTGCATTTCCAAATGAGGTACCGGGTGCATCTCACTGGGAATTGTCGGAAAGTGGGTGCAGGACAGTGGGTGCAGTGCACCGAGTCTGAGCCGAAGCAGGGCAAGGCATCGCCTCACCAGGAAGTGCAAGCAGTGGGGAATTCCTTTTCCTAGCCAAGGAAAGGGGTGACGGATGGCACCTGGAAAATTGGGTCACTCCCACCCTAATACTGTGCTTTTCCGATGGTCTTAGCAAACGGCACACCAGGAGATTATATCCCGTGCATGACTCAGAGGGTCCTATGCCCACGAAGCCTCACTCATTGCTAGCACAGCAGTCTGAGGTCTAACTGCCAGGTGGCAGTGAGGCTGGGGGAGGGGCACCCGCCATTGCTGAGGCTTGAGTAGGTAAACAAAGCAGCCAGGAAGCTCAAACTGGGTGGAGCCCACTGCAGCTCAAGGAGGCCTGCCTGCCTCTGTAGACTCCACCTCTGGGGGCAGGGCATAGCCAAACAAAAGGCAGCAGAAACCTCTGTAGACTTAAATGTCCCTGTCAGACAGCTTTGAAGAGTGTAGTGGTTCTCCCAGCACGCAGCTTGAGATGTGAGAACAGACAGACTGCCTCCTCAAGTGGGTCCCTGACCCTCGAGTAGCCTAACTGGGAGGCACCCCCCCAGTAGGGGCAGACTGACACATCACACGACCAGGTACTCCTCTGAGGCAAAACTTCCAGAGGAACGATCAGGCAGCGACATTTGCTGTTCACCAATATCCATTGTTCTGCAGCCTCCACTGCTGATACCCAGGCAAACAGGGTCTGGAGTGGACCTCCAGCAAACTCCAACAGACCTGTCGCTGAGGGTCCTGACTGTTAGAAGGAAAACTAACAAACAGAAAGGACATCCACACCAAAACCCCATCTGTACGTCACCATCACCAAGACCAAAGATAGATAAAACCACAAAGATGGGGAAAAAACAGAGCAGAAAAACTGAAAAATCTAAAAATCAGAGCGCTTCTCTTCCTCCAAAGGAACCCAGCTCCTCACCAGCAACGGAACAAAGCTGGACGGAGAATGACTTTGACGAGTTGAGAGAAGAAGGCTTCAGAAGATCAAACTACTCCAAGCTAAAGGAGGAAGTTCGAACCCATGGCAAAGAAGTTAAAAACCTTGAAAAAAGATTAGACAAATGGCTAACTGGAATAACCAATGTAGAGAAGTCCTTAAAGGACCTGATGGAGATGAAAACCATGGCACGAGAACTACGTGACAAATGCACAAGCCTCAGTAGCTGATTCGATCAACTGGAAGAAAGGGTATCAGTGATAGAAGATCAAATGAATAAAATGAAGCAAGAAGAGAAGTTTAGAGAAAAAAGAATAAAAGGAAACGAACAAAGCCCCCGAGAAATATGGGACTATGTGAAAAGACCAAATCTACGTCTGATTGGTGTACCTGAAAGTGATGGGAAGAATGGAACCAAGTTGGAAAACACTCTGCAGGATATTATCCAGGAGAACTTCCCCAATCTAGCAAGTCAGGCCAACATTCAAATTCAGGAAATACAGAGAACGCCACAAAGATACTCCTCAAGAAGAGCAACTCCAAGACACATAATTGTCAGATTCACCAAAGTTGAAATGAAGGAAAAAATGTTAAGGGCAGCTAGAGAGAATGGTCAGGTTACCCACAAAGGGAAGCCCATCAGACTGACAGCTGATCTCTTGGCAGAAACTCTACAAGCCAGAAGAGAGTGGGGGCCAATCTTCAACATTCTTAAAGAAAAGAATTTTCAACCCAGAATTTCATATCCAGCCAAACAAAGCTTCATAAGTGAAGGAGAAATAAAATAATTTACAGACAAGCAAATGCAGAGAGATTTTGTCACCCCCAGGCCTGTCCTAAAAGAGCTCCAGAAGGAAGCACTAAACATGGAAAGGAACAACCGGTACCAGCCACTGCAAAAACATGCCAAATTGTAAAGACCATTGATGCTAGGAAGAAACTGCATCAACTAAGGAGCAAAATAACCAGCAAGCATCATAATGACAGGATCAAATTCACACATAACAATATTAACCTTAAGTGTAAATGGGCTAAATGTTCCAATTGAAAGACACAGACTGGCAAATTGGGTAAAGAGTCAAGACCCTTCAGCGTGCTGTATTCAGGAAACCCAACTCATGTGCAGAGACATACATAAGCTCAAAATAAAGGGATGGAGGAAGATCTACCAAGCAAATGGAAAACAAAAAAAGGCAGGGGTTGCAATCCTAGTCCCTGATAAAACAGACTTTAAACCAACAAAGATCAAAAGAGACAAAGAAGGCCATTACATAATGGTAAAGGGATCAATTCAACAAGAAGAGCTAACTATCCTAAATATATATGCACCCAATACAGGAGCACCCAGATTCATAAAGCAAGTCCTTAGAGACCTACAAAGAGACTTAGACTCCCACACAATAATAATGGGAGACTTTAACACCCCACGGTCAACATTAGACAGATCAACGAGACAGAAAGTTAACAAGGATATCCAGGAATTGAACTCAGCTCTGCACCAAGCAGGCCTAATCGACAGCTACAGAACTCTCCACCCCAAATCAACAGAATATACATTCTTCTCAGCACCACATCACACTTACTCCAAAATTGACCACATAGTTGGAAGTAAAGCACTCCTCAGCAAATGTAAAAGAACAGAAATTATAACAAACTGTCTCTCAGACCACAGTGCAATCAAACTAGAACTCAGGAATAAGAAACTCACTCAAAACCACTCAACTACATGGAAACTGAATAACCTGCTCCTGAATGACTACTGGGTACATAATGAAATGAAGGCAGAAATAAAGATGTTCTTTGAAACCAACAAGAACAAAGACACCACATACCAGAATCTCTGGAACACATTTAAAGCAGTGTGTAGAGGGAAATTTATAGCACTAAATGCCCACAAGAGAAAGCAGGAGAGATCTAAAATTGACACCCTAACATCACAATTAAAAGAACTAGACAAGCAAGAGCAAACACATTCAAAAGCTAGCAGAAGGCAAGAAATAACTAAGATCAGAGCAGAACTGAAGGAGATAGTGACACAAAAAACCCTTCAAAAAATCAATGAATCCAGGAGCTGGTTTTTTGAAAAGATCAACAAAATTGATAGACCACTAGCAAGACTAATAAAGAAGAAAAGAGAGAACAATCAAATAGATGCAATAAAAAATGATAAAGGGGATATCACCACTGATCCCACAGAAATACAAACTACCATCAGAGAATACTATAAACACCTCTGTGCAATTAAGCTAGAAAATCTAGAAGAAATGGATAAATTCCTGGACACATACACCCTCCCAAGACTAAACCAGGAAGAAGTTGAATCCCTGAATAGAGCAATAACAGGCTCCGAAATTGAGGCAATAGTTAATAGCTTACGAACCAAAAAAAGTACAGGATCAGACGGATTCACAGCCAGTTTCTACCAGAGGTACAAGGAGCAGCTGGTACCATTCCTTCTGAAACTATTTCAATCAATAGAAAAAGAGGGAATCCTCCCTCACTCATTTTATGAGGCCAGCATCATCCTGATACCAAAGCCTGGCAGAGACACAACAAAGAAAGAGAATTTTAGACCAATATCCCTGATGAACACTGATGCAAAAATCCTCACTAAAATACTGGCAAACCAAATCCAGCAGCACATCAAAAAGCTTATCCACCATGATCAAGTGGGCTTCATCCCTGGGATGCAAGGCTGGTTCAACATACGCAAATCAATAAACATAGTCCAGCATGTAAACAGAACCAATAATAAAAACCACAGGATTATTTCAATAGAGGCAGAAAAGGCCTTTGACAAAATTCAACAGCCCTTCATGCTAAAACTCTCAATAAATTAGGTATTGATGGGACGTATCTCAAAATAATAAGAGCTATTTATGACAAACCCACAACCAATATCATACTGAATGGGCAAAAACTCGAAGCATTCCCTTTGAAAACTTGCACAAGACAGGGATATTCTGTTGTATATTCTGTTGATATTCTCTCTCACCACTCCTATTCAACATAGTGTTGAATAAATACCTAGAGAATATTTTACCTTTGAATATTTTATTCAAAGAGAATAAAATACCTAGGAATCCAACTTACAAGGGATGTGAAGGACCTCTTCAAGGAGAACTACAAACCACTGCTCAATGAAATAAAAGAGGATACAAACAAATGGAAGAACATTCCACGCTCATGGGTAGGAAGAATCAATATCGTGAAAACGGCCATACTGCCCAAGGTAATTTATAGATTCAATGCCATCCCCATCAAGCTACCAATGACTTAATGACTTTCTTCACAGAATTAGAAAAAAACTACCTTAAAGTTCATATGGAACCAAAAAGAGCCTGCATCACCAAGTCAATCCTAAGACAAAAGAACAAAGCTGGAGGCATCACACTACCTGACTTCAAACTATACTACAAGGCTACAGTAACCAAAACAGCATGGTACTGATACCAAAACAGAGATATAGACCAATGGAACAGAACAGAGCCCTCAGAAATAATGCCACATATCTGCAACTATCTGATCTTTGACAAAACTGAGAAAAATAAGCAATGGGGAAAGGATTCCCTATTTAATAAATGGTTCTGGGAAAACTGGCTAGCCATATGTAGAAAGCTGAAACTGGATCCCTTCCTTACACCTTATACAAAAATTAATTCAAGATGGATTAAAGACTTAAATATTAGACCTAAAACCATAAAAACCCTAGGAGAAAACCTAGGCAATACCATTCAGGACATAGGCATGGGTAAGGACTTCATGTCTAAAACACCAAAAGCAATGGCAACAAAAGACAAAATTGACAAATGGGATCTAATTAAACTAAAGAGCTTCTGCACAGCAAAAGAAACTACCATCAGTGTGAACAGGCAACCTAGAGAATGGGAGAAAATTTTTGCAATCTACTCATCTAACAAAGGGCTAATATCCAGAATCTACAATGAACTCAAACAAATTTACAAGAAAAAAACAAACAACCCCATCAACAAGTGGGCAAAGGATATGAACAGACACTTCTCAAAAGAAGACATTTATGCAGTCAAAAGACACATGAAAAAATGCTCATCATCACTGGCCATCAGAGAAATGCAAATCAAAACCACAATGAGATACCATCTCACACCAGTTAGGAATGGCAATCATTAAAAAGTCAGGAAACAGCAGGTGCTGGAGAGGATGTGGAGAAATAGGAACACTTTTACACTGTGGGTGGGACTGTAAACTAGTTCAACCATTGTGGAAGTCAGTGTGGCAATTCCTCAGGGATCTGGAACTAGAAAAACCGTTTGACCCAGCCATCCCAGAGGATTATAAATCATGCTGCTATAAAGACACATGCACACGTATGTTTATTGCAGCACTATTCACAATAGCAAAGACTTGGAACCAACCCAAATGTCCATCAATGATAGACTGGATTAAGAAAATGTGGCACATATACACCATGGAATACTATGCAGCCATAAAAAATGATGAGTTCATGTCCTTCGTAGGGACATGGATGAAGCTGGAAACCATCATTCTCAGCAAACTATCGCAAGGACAAAAAACCAAACGCTGCGTGTTCTCACTCATAGGTGGGAATTGAACAATGAGAACACATGGACACAGGAAGGGGAACATCACACACCAGGGCCTGTTGTGAGGTGGGGGTAGGGGGAAGGGATAGCATTAGGAGATATACCTAATGTTAAATGACGAGTTAATGGGTGCAGCACACCAACACGGCACATTTATATATATGTAACAATCCTGCACGTTGTGCATATGTACCCTAAAACTTAAAGTATAATTAAAAAAAATAAATAAGTAAATAAAAAAGAGAGGTATAAAGCAAACATCATAAATATTAATATACTTAAATCTGTGTGGTTTGTCATTTTCTTTGCTATACCTTTTCAAACATATTTTATTATAAATACATTTATCAATATTTTTATTTTATTTTGTATTTTTTGACTTATTTAAGAAATCTTATCCTATTCTGATATTTTAACTATTTTTTTCTAAAAGGTTTATAGCAATGCTTTTCATACTTTTAGATTTAATCTGCATAAATTTCAAAAATTTGTAATTTTAAAAAAACTTCAGGCGGGCAGATCACTACCTCAGGAGATCAAGACCATCCTGACCAACATGGTGAAACTCCGCCTCTACTAAAAATACAAAAAATTAGCTGGGTGTGGTGGCACATGCCTATAGTTCCAGTTACTCGGGAGGCAGGACAATCGCTTGAACCCTGGCGGGCTGAGGTTGCAGTGAGCCGAGATCGCGGCACTGCACTCCAGCCTGGGTGATAGAGCTAGACTCAGTCTCAAAAAAAAGAAAAATTATATATATATATATATATATTCAAACTTATAGATGAGTTGAAGGGAAAGTATATATGTCACTCAAATTCCCCAACTGTTAATATTTTGGGAACTAGTGGTATCATTTTCTTTATCTGTCCATTGGAGAGTAAATTGTCCTTTCCTCCTTAATATTTCAGTGTGTATTTTCTATTACTTAACCACAATAAAATGATTGAAATCTGGAAATTAGCATGATACAGTATTATCGTCTTGCTACAGTTCTTATTCTATATACCAATAATGCATCCCAAAATATATTTTATAGCATATTGTCATCATATGTCCCAATAATTATGCCAATACCATGCTAGGCTGGTATTATTGTTCCAATAATATGCTAGGCTATGATCTCCAGTTGTTTGGTCACCCACTAATAAACATTGTTGTGGAAGTATTTTTTCAAGGTGATTAATATTTAAATCAGTAGACTGAGTAAAGGAGATTACCCTCTATATTGCGAATGCACCTCATTAATTATCTAAAGGCCTTAACAGCAAAGACTGAAGTACCCCAAAGAAGAACAATTTCTGCCTCCAACCTGCAAATAGGAAACTTATCTTAGTTTCCAGCCTTTGTATACAAGACTGCAACATCAGTCTGGACTCAATAGATTTCAGTCTTGCCAGCCCCTACATTTTCATGAGCCAATTCCTTAAAAGAATTCTGAGTTCATAAAGTTTTTAAAACCTAAATTTATGAGTTGTAAATATGCATCTTACTGGTTCTGTTTCTTTGGAAAGCTCTAATACATATATATTGTTAATTTTTCAAAGGACTGGATTTAATAAGTAAATATATTCTTTAAGATATATTTCGTGGATTTTTTATTTAAACTTTCTTTTATTCACCTTCCTATTGTATTAATTTGAATTTCCTGCCCCCGCCCCCCAGCATTTTGAATTAGGAAATTAATTCATGTATTTTCATTCTTTCATTTTTATTGATACAAATGTTTATGGCTATGATTTGTTCATCTCTTAACTGATTTAATATAGTGTAGAATTTCGGATATGTAGTTTTTCACTCATTATTTTTTAGAGATTATGTAACGTCAACTGGCATTTCCCTCTTCACCCAAGTATCTTTCAAAACAGCAGTGTAGAGCAACATCATTTATAGGTGCTTAAGCCTTAAATATTAGTAAATGAAATCCATGAGTGTTATTAAAGGCTAATATTCCATGACCAAACTGGGGTTACTTTAGCATCCAAGAGTGATTTCATATTAGAAAATCAATTTATGTAATTTATTATATAATTAAAGAGAAAAATATATGATTACCTCAATAGAATCCCAAATGTATTTTGATAAAATTCAATATTCACTACTGTTGAGGATAAAATTTAATTATCAAAAAACCCCACAAGTCTCTTACTATATTACATTGAAAAACATTTTTGGTATAAAATAAAGAACATAAGTATCTGCTATTAAAATACTAGAAGAAGTCACATGAATACCCAAGGGAAAAAGTACATCTTAAAGGTATATATTATAAAACACCGTGTGAAGGATCTAATTGATACAATGAAATAAGAGATGGAGTTAGATAATGTATTATTATTTACAAATAATGTGCTTCTCTACACAGGAAATCAAACAAAAAAAACCCGGAAAAAATAACAAATGACAGAGTTCAGTAAAATAGACATTTAAGATTAATATACATAAATAAAATACAATGTATGTTATATAAATTTACTGCAAAATATGTTAAAAAATCTAAAAACAAATACTATATATCATTTGAAGTGCCTACTAAAATTATTTAAATATCAAAATGTTTCTTAAAAGGAAGTTGAAAGATGAATAGAACAAAGTGTAGATTCAAGAAGAAGAATTTAATGTATGTTAAATGAGACATTAAAATTGGTGACCAAGAAAGTAATTAATTATTATAACAAATTTCAGTGTGCTATGATAATCTTTTGAAAATGCTCGAATCTTCTTCCACAAAATACAAAAACAAAACGTAACTCCCTATGAATTAACTTCCTGTAGATTTACATGAAAGAGATAACACACAACACAGAAATATTAATATTTTTACATGATTAGATGAACAAAGATTTTTCTTAGCATGATGCTAAATTCATAAGCCATAAATGAAAAAAGAAATGCTTGTGCACGTAAAAATATAAAACTTGTTACATGCCATAAATGAAGAAAAATATAAATTACGCAAGAAAATATTTACCATTTATAAGACCAATAAATACCTAAATTTATTTTTACAATAAAATTTTTTATGAAGATACAACAAAAAGATGAGCAACATAATTTTATAATGAGTGTATCTTATTCCTCATATGATTTTTCTAAAATCTTCATTAATTCTTGGCTTGCCAAAAATTGAGAAAAGATTATTTCCTCCACTCAAATGAGAATCCTTGTTCTCTTGATCATAAAAGCAGGCTCTGTCTTTTAAATTCTACCCCGTGTGTATGAGTGTATGAGTGTTTGCATGGGGATAATGTTATAGATAGACATGTGAATGGGTAGGTTGTGCAGATGCTGTGTTGTCAGGGTGTTTAGGCACAACCCAGCTGGCAAATGTATGATCGCATCTTACATCCACCTCTGCTTCCCAAATGGCAGCCTCTACTCTGGATGTCTCTTGGTTTGGAAGTCCTCCTTCAGAAGCTAGACTTACAGAATGTTTGTTCTAAGGCCAAATGTGAGAATCTACTTTTCCTGGCTGTTTCTTCTATGAATATTATTTATCATCTCAGGTTCTTCTGACATCTTTTGCAAGTAGTAACTATGTGGCCAGCAGTTCTACCTAAGCAGGTTGTTTTATTTAGAAAGTTATTCTTACCCCCCACCACCCTGGATATTTAATTTACCCATGTAGCAAACTTGTACAAGTGCCCCTTGAACCTAAAATAAAAGTTGAAAAGAAAAAAAAAGGAGAAAGGTATTCTTAGGGATATACCTTTGGGGAATGTGCCTCTGCTCCACCTCTCAGACTATTTACAAGGGAATGTCCCAATGGATTCAGATATCTCAGAATATAGTCTTAATTAATTACTTTGATGATTGTCCCATTGGCTTCCTTCTTTTCTGAAATTCTCTTTGTGCTTGACATTCCTCTGAGATTCTGTAATGGAAAAAGTTCTCACTTGAGTAGTGGATTTATATTTCAAGTATTCTTGACTTCAGTTTGCTCTGCTCTGGTTTCTTCTTCAATCTTATTCAATTTTCCCATTTTTCAGAAATGTCTCAAAATTTCTCATGCAGTGGTTGAACATTATCTTGTTCATTTATAGTACTGCTCTGGAGACTGACAATGTCCCTGCTTAGCTCATCACTCTATTTTTATTTTCTGATGGCTCTGTTCTGACAGTCTTTTTTAGTACTACTACATTTGTTTCTTTATTGTTTATGAACCCCACCTTAGTGTAAATTTTCTGAGAACTGGAACCTTGCCAATCTAACTCACTTCTGCAGCTCTTGTACTTAAAACAATGCCAGGGACACAGAAGGTACTCAATACATACTTGTTGCCAAAATGTATGACCGGATGAATAACAAAATTGAGAGAAAAGCACATGTGTTCACGGTTCAGGCCTGGTTTCTTGGCTTGCTTTCTATGTTGCTGCTTGTTGTACATTGATAAGGACCATAGCTTTTCTCTGCTTCTGGCTCCAATGTGATAAGCAACAAAGGCAGTTTCCTACTAAAGCTCATCCCACGGTCTCCATTTGTGCACCCATGACTGAATGGGCAAGCTCAATTCACGGAACAATGAGTAGGAAACCCTCACTAGGTTCCACCTGCATTCACAAATCCATCTGTCTCATTCATAGAGCTGATATTCTGATCCCCATGTGGCCCAGTGGGGTGAGTTATATAATATAATTAGAAATAGGAAAGGAATTTCCTGAACACGATACATTCAGGAAGAGGAAACTCCACTACAGAGTTTAGTGATTCTAGGAGATTTTGTGAATGTGAAAAAAAAGTCAGAAGGATAGTGAAGAGAAAAAATCATATCGAGATAGTAAGATGTGAATAAAACTACAAAAGCACAAAAGCAAACAATAAAATGAGAAAGGCTGAGGACTATTTTTGACTCAAGTAAAACATTTTATGTCATCATTTACTATTTTAGAATATGTATTAAAATGTTTCCCTTATTCTAGCTCATGTGGATTAAGATTGCTGTATAAAGTATTACATACCCTTCTTCATTTCAATAGCAGTTACAAGTTCTGCTCCACTTTTATTTTTATCTAAAACTAATTAATTTTTACATCATTCTGATATAACTATTAAACAATTTTATGTGATCATTTGTAATAAAGGCAACATTCAGAAACAATTTCTGTCTTCCTATAGCTCTGTCCATGTTAATTAAGACTGAAAAGACAATTGGTTTAAAAATTACCTAAACAAAGTGGCTTGATCAATTAGAATCAATCTACTAAGCTGACATATTGTTCATTCAGTCTAACAGATAAAAGCTCTGCTGAGAATTATGAGGTACTTGTAGATTGGATTATATAATTTGTGCTAAAAATTTTTACAAAAGAAAAAAATGGTTTTTCTACTAAATAAGAATGATTGTCTTCACTGAAATAGAGAAGAAAGCTTCCATGAGTTGGACACTAATTTTGGGAGAAAGGAGATTCTAAAAGTGAAGCATCTTCCCCTGGGCTTTTCTCTCTCTCTCAGATTTCATTTGCTTCTTATTGTAACACAAGCACACTGACCACAGAAATACGCTCTCTCCTTCCTCTGAAAGAACATAAACATTTCTTTAAATTGGCTTTCAACGAAATTAAGACAGTGTGACATTCAAAGCTATTCTTATAAAACTCAGAGATTAAAGGAATATATGAAAATATAAACAAAAAATTAAATAAAGCGGATTTTCTAGATAACAGATTTCTAGTCTAACCAAATAATTTATAGGAACCCATTAGCCTTCATTATACACCAAAACTGAAAATAAATAAAAAGAGCTTCTGCCTTAGGGCTTGGACTCTCAGCACACTCTTGTCATGTGAAGAGTTGCCATCTAGTCAGTTGGAGTCACATGGCCCAGCTGACAACCAGCACTAGTCACCCAGTGTGTGAGGGAAGCCGTTGTCAACCACACAGACTCCATCAACCATGAAATCGCTACAGTCACCTCAGTGCACCAAGTGAGATCAGCTCAAGTTGCTAAATTACAAAATTATCAAAAAAAATGGTTGCAGTTTTCAGTTACAGTGTTTTGGGCTAGTTTGGTTGGCAGCAATAGATAACGGATGCTTAATTTATAATATGTATATACATATATATATATAAAATGAGTCGGCTAGGCACAGTGGTTCAAACATGTAATCCCAGTACTTTGGGAGGCCGAGGCAGGTGGATCACTTGAGGCCAGGAGTTTGAGAACAATTTGGACAAGATGGCGAAACCCCATCTCTACTAAAAATTAAAAAAAAAAAAATGCCAGGCGCGGTGACATATGCCTGTAATTGCAGCTACTCAGGTGGCTGAGGCATTAGAATCGCTTGAACCTAGGAGGCGGAGGTTGCAATGAGCTGAGATGGCGCCGCTGCACTCCAGCCAGGGCGACAGAGTGAGACTCTGTCTCAAAAAAATTATTAATTAAACAAATTAAAAAATGAGTGGATACCCCTATAATGCTTATAACCGTCTAGAACATTGCAAACACTTATTAATGTATTTGCTCAATATAATCATAATTTTTTACTTCTGCATTTGAGTTCATGTCCTTTGTAGGGACATGGATGAAGCTGGAAACCATCATTCTCAGCAAACTATCGCAAGGACAAAAAACCAAACACCACATGTTCTAACTCATAGGTGGGAATTGAACAATGAGAACACTTGGACTCAGGAAGGGGAACATCACACACTGGGGCCTGTCGTGGGGTGGGGGTAGGGGGTAGGGATAGCATTAGGAGATATACCTAATGTAAATGACAAGTTAACGGGTGCAGCACACCAACATGGCACATGTATACATATGTAACAAACCTGCACGCTGTGCACATGTACCCTGAAACTTAAAGTATAATAAAAAAAATTTTAAAAAGAATAGTAAATATGACTGTAATACATCTTTTATACAGAATTTGGGAGAATAAAGGGATGGGGTGGTGCAAACACAGGGAATTAAGATTTAATATCTAAAACTAGCTTTGACATTAATTTTCATAATGACCTTGGGGGAAATCAGTACTTATCTCTGGTTCTCAATTTCCTGTTCTGTAGAACAGAAAAGATTTAGGTGTCTAAGTTTCTTCCCATTTGTATATTCATGAATCCACAATTTTCAGATAACCTACGATGTTTTATTTTTATCTTAAAAATTTTGCAGAAAATTTATTAAAATACATTATCTTTCTTCCTCTTCTTAAATGAAGTCTGAATCCAGGTCATGGCACCATTACTAAATGAGTCCTAATCATTGTTGAATTTTTTTCAAATATAAAGATTGATATATTTTGCAGAAGGAAATGTTGAATGTTATAAGGCTGTTTATACTCATATAAAAATCTCTCTGACTACTATATTAATTTTTATATTTGCTTGATATTTGTAATGCTATATTTTTAACTATATTTTCACAACTGTAATGTCTGGCCCTTATTCTAAATATTTTAAAATGTGTTTCTCTTTGCAGGCTGAGATACAATAAAAAGATAACTTTAAAACCATGCTAGAAACAGAAAGTAGGCATCCATCTAAAACCTGGAGATTTCTTCCATAAAAGCAAACAAGGAAACTCAGTGAAATATACATACAAATAAATACATGCAATTTATATAAACAAAAATAATATAATCATTTTCACAAACAATAACAATATTAATGCTTATGTATTTTGATCCCATTTTTAGAAATATAACCTTCCTAGCAGGTTAAAAGCATCACTTAGGCACCCATATAGTTTTCCTGCCTGCAGTCACTTTGTGTATATACGTATATATATAAAACACAAATGTAATATGTAAATAACGTAAACTATATGGCAGTAAAACTATGAGTGTGTGTATATATACACGCACACACACACACACACAAACGTGTGTAGTTTTGCCTGTTTTTAGGTCATATATAAATGAAATAATATTATACTTATTCTCTTACGATTTCCTTTTTTAAAATCAATATTCTTTGTGAAATTAAAGTGGTTGCATATTGCTGTTGTTCATTCAGAGTCACTGAATTATGGAATTCTATTTATTACCGATATGAAAATTTTATTTGCTCTAATATTAACAAACATCTGGGCTGTTTCAGTTGGGGGCTTTAATACACAATGCCACTACGAGTGTTGTTTGCAAGAATTCCTATAGGTTTAATGCCTAGGAGTAAATTCCTGAGTTTTAAAATATGAGCATACACGTCTTCACTATATAATGGGAAACTGATTTCTCAACTACTTTCATTTGAGACAAAAATAAATTTTGATAATTGTTTAACCCGCTACTTTTCTGGTTTTCTTTTTCCAACAAGCAAAAAACACTTTTTAAATGTTTTTCTATAATTCAGCTACACAAATGTTATTTACTCATAAGTATTCACAAATACAAAGTATTTGAACAAGTGGTTATATTTTAGTATGGACCCACTAGGTGCCAGGGTTTTGTGTGAATTGCTTCTTTTAATATTCATTTTGAGGACTATCATGCCTTCACAGAAATTAAGTGACTTGCCTCTGGTTAAATACATAAGTAACAAAGTCATGATTCAAAACTGGGTTTGCCTAAAACTAAGAATGTTCATGTTCACAGCTACTTTGAAGTAATTTGAAAAATGCACACAGTAATTGCAATGCCTAAAGGTCGAAGTAGAACCATTACATTTGTCGATAAAAGGGTTAATTTGGCAAAACCAAATTCAAAAGTAAATTATGAATTTTGACAAAGTAGATACAAAATGTAAAAGTTCATATTTTTATATTTTGTAGTATGAACTGAAGTTTTTATCTAAATATTGTGAATATGGCCTTGTACAATTAAGTGAACCCTCAATATTAACGTAATAATATCTAGTTTTATAAAACATATAGTAATACATAATCCAGTAGCTTCATCATATCATACTGTTTGTGGGTAAATATAAAGTGTGTCAATTCAGGATTTATAAATGTAGATAATTTCACTGTCATTTAGTGAAATTATTGCCCAAATTTTAAGTGAGTAAAAATCTCTATGATGCCTTTATATAATGATAGGCATGGCTATTAATTCTTGCTTTCTATTGTTGTATAGTCTTCAGATTTGGTAGACAAGAATTACAAAAGGAAGTAAGCAAGATTAAAGGGATGAAAAAGTCACTGTGTTTAATGAGCACACATGGTGTTCTGTCATAACAAATTATCCCATGATGCTAATGATTAACTAGGCTGCCACTTGTTCTATAAGCTTACAGTATCATGAGCCAAGTAAGCACAATAGAAAACTGTCTACAAAATTTGAAGGCTATTTTAATTTCATATTTATCACCATCTTGTCATCTGTGATAACACTTCATCATACACGTGGCTCTTGCCTGGAGTTATCAAAATTAAAATTTATTTCAATAAAAGTGTTGTCGCTTAGTGCAAGACCAGTGAGGCAATTCAGTGCAACAAACAATAAGGTGTACAAGTTAGAATGAATTTGTTCCAGTTTGAACACAACAGACCATAATCTCAAAGCGTTCCCTTTGAGAATGCTATCATATACTCAATGCTATCATATACCCCCATTATGGGGAAATTCATATAATTAAGTCTATTGATAGACTTAATCACCTTAATCAAACTCTTTGATACCTTGTCCTCTTTCATGTTAGGATTTCAACCCACACTGATTTCAGAAAAAAGCACTAGGTAAATGTGTTTTTGAAAAGTTTTGTGAGGAGAGAATATTGACCGTCAGACTATGCACAGTAAAAATGCCACTAAAAAATGCAGAAGCATGATGAATCATATAGCAGTGTATCAAATCACAACAAATAAGGGATTACAAATTATATATATTTAATACACTATAGATAGAGAGACAGTGTTTTTACTTTATGTTCCTGATAAACATAGCTCTCTTTTATGGCAAACATCTTCGACGATGTTATTTCTGAGGGCTCTGTTCTGTTCCATTGATCTATATCTCTGTTTTGGTACCAGTACCATGCTGTTTTGGTTACTGTAGCCTTGTAGTATAGTTTGAAGTCAGGTAGTGTGATGCCTCCAGCTTTGTTCTTTTGGCTTAGGATTGACTTGGCAATGCGGGCTCTTTTTTGGTTCCATATGAACTTTAGTTTTTTCCAATTGTGTGAAGAAAGGCATTGGTAGCTTGATGGGGATGGCATTGAATCTGTAAATTACCTTGGGCAGTATGGCCATTTTCACGATATTGATTCTTCCTACCCATGAGCATGGAATGTTCTTCCATTTGTTTGTATCCTCTTTTATTTCCTTGAGCAGTGGTTTGTAGTTCTCCTTGAAGAGGTCCTTCACATCCTTTGTAAGTTGGATTCCTAGGTATTTTATTCTCTTTGAAGCAACTGTGAATGGGAGTTCACTCACGATTTGGCTTTCTGTTTGTCTGTTGTTGGTGTATAGGAATGCTTGTGATTTTTGCACATTGATTTTGTATCCTGAGACTTTGCTGAAGTTGCTTATCAGCTTAAGGAGATTTTGGGCTGAGACAATGGGGTTTTCTAGATATACAATCATGTCATCTGCAAACAGGGACAATTTGACTTCTAGGCATTACCATTCAGGACATAGGCATGGGCAAGAACTTCATGTCTAAAACACCAAAAGCAATGGCAACAAAAGACAAAATTGACAAATGGGATCTAATTAAACTAAAGAGCTTCTGCACAGCAAAAGAAACTACCATCACAATGAACAGGCAACCTACAAAATGGGAGAAAATTTTTGCAACCTACTCATCTGACAAAGGGCTAATATTCAGAATCTACAATGAACCCAAACAAATTTAGAAGAAAAAAAACAAACCACCCCATCAAAAAGTGGGCGAAGGACATGAACAGACACTTCTCAAGAGAAGACATTTATGCAGCAAAAAAACACATGAAAAAATGCTCATCATCACTGGCCATCAGAGAAATGCAAATCAAAACCACAATGAGATACCATCTCACACCAGTTAGAATGGCAATCATTAAAAAGTCAGGAAACAACAGGTGCTGGAGAGGATGTGGAGAAATAGGAACACTTTTACACTGTTGGTGGGACTGTAAACTAGTTCAACCATTGTGGAAGTCAGTGTGGCCATTCCTCAGGGATCTAGAACTAGAAATACCATTTGGCCCAGCCATCCCATTACTGGGTATATACCCAAAGGACTATAAATCATGCTGCTATAAAGACACATGCACACGTATGTTTATTGCGGCATTATTCACAATAGCAAAGACTTGGAACCAACCCAAATGTCCAACAATGATAGACTGGATTAAGAAAATGTGGCACATATACACCATGGAATACTATGCAGCCATAAAAAAATGATGAGTTCATGTCCTTTGTAGGGACGTGGATGAAATTGGAAATCATCATTCTCAGTAAACTATTGCAAGAACAAAAAACCAAACTCCGCATATTCTCACTCATAGGTGGGAATTGAACAATGAGATCACGTGGACACAGGAAGGGGAACATCACACTCTGGGGACTGTTGTGGGGTGTGGGGAGGGGGGAGGGATAGCATTGGGAGATATACCTAATGCTAGATGATGAGTTAGTGGGTGCAGCACACCAGCATGGCACATGTATACGTATGTAACTAACCTGCACAATGTGCACATGTACCCTAAAACTTAAAGTATAATAATAATAAAAAAATTTTTTAAAAAAACTCATAAAACACACACACAGACACACACACATACACACACATCTTTGCTTTGAATACTATCTTGGGCAAAAAAGAAAGATACATCAATAAAATTATTAAGTATAAACATTTCTTTGGTTTAAAAGCAAAAGAGAGAAGTACTGAAGTCAAGGTGATGCCAAAACTTGCAGAGCGTATTTCTTTCCATCTGGAAATCTTTCTTGTCACTTCTTTTTCTCACTTTCCGAAGATTATCTTTTCTGTAAAGCAACCAATGCTTCATTGAAGTTTCCCCAAACTAGAAAAAAGACTAGGGAAACTGATTTACTGAACCAAATGGCAAAGTCTTCTGAATTTATTTAAAGCCCTATCACTGAACTGTAGGAGAAGGATCTGAGACTTGTAAAGGAAAAAAGAAAATAAACAACATTACAGGAATTGTTTTTAAGAAAGACACTATG